>NC_000020.11:2642092-2793607 GCF_000001405.40 Homo sapiens
CAAGTCTGGCCAGGAGTGGTGGCTCACACCTGTAATCCCAACACTTTAAGAGGCTGAAGTGGGAGGCCAGGGGTTTCAGATGAGCCTGAGCAACAGAGCAAGACCCTTGTCTCTACAAATAGATAAATGAATCAAAGTAAATGAAAGTGAATGAAAATAAAGGTAAATGGACCAAAGACCAGTCATGGAGAGTGGGGATTGGTGGGAAGACTGGTGATACCCCAGTACCCAGCCCAAGGGAAGCTTACACCATGGAGCACAAAACAGGGAGTGAAAACAGTGAATCACAGGAGCGAGTGAGTTGCCCAGTGCCTCTTATCTTGGAAGGAAACCTGCCTTACCCAGGGCAGAAAAATCTTTTTCATGCACCAAATTCTAAAAGGAATTTGATAACATGATTATTGTACAAAAGACCTTGAAGATGGTTTCTCTGAAGAGTTTTGCAAAAGGTACAATGCAGAGCGTTGTCTCTGGGGATTCTATGTTCACTTAGTGTCATATCATGGTTCTATGCAGAATATTTCTTAGGGGGAAGAAGCCAGGGGCCAGACCATTAAGAAGGCCTTGATGGCAAGGGCAGAGCCTAGGTAGGGTGGGAGTCACAGTCCAGGACTCTGCAACAGCCCAGCTATCTTGCACACAGCTCCTTCCTTTCCTCCACTCTGTGCTCCCAGACCCAGGTAAGCAGTGAGGCCTCAGAGGGCCCCAGAGACCCTCTCACCCATGTCTCTGAGTGTTCTAAAGAGAGTCAGCCACCTTAACCTCATCAACTGTTACAGCCACCACCCAACCAGGCCCCCAGGGGTTCTCAGGAGAATCCCCCAGACTCAGAAAGTCAGGCAAAGCCCTGGCAGAGAGACGAAGATTTTTACAGCAATTTCATAAGCTGTACAATTAAAATAATTTCTAACTTCCCTCCCAAATCCCTTCCCTTCTCAATCCAGCACCAAAACTTCACATATATATACAAACTGCAATGGAATAATAGGGACATGTGACCAGGAGAAACAGGATAAATTATTTCACACCAATCTCTCCTGGCAAGGCTAACGAAGATGTTGCAATGCCTGATTTCCATGGAACCCAGGTCCAAGCCCCAAATCCAAAACTGCCTGTGTGTCATATGCCTTCCCCCAAGCTAACCTACCTGAAACCTCAGTACAGGGATCCTGGCACTGTAACCCAACCAATCAGGACCAGAAGGCCCAAAGATGGCCACCACACCAACACCTGGCCTTCTGCATCAGAATGCCAGGCCCTGAGGCAGGGAACACTCTGCCTGCCTGAGCCATTGGTCCCCTAGTGATTACTGTCAGGCCTCCACTGGTTACTAATACACATAAATACCCACCACAAACACAAACCAACCATCCTGATCTGATGAAGTGTAATTTTATGTGACGGAATGTATATGTCATCTAATGCTGCATAACAAATTATTCCCAAAACATAACAGCCTAAAACAATAAACAATTATGTATTATTGTATGTAGTTTCTGTTCTGTGGGTTATAAATTTGGGAGTGGCTTAACTAGGCAGATGTGGTTCCGGATATTTCAGTCAAATTCTCAGCTAGGGCTACAATTATTGGAAGGTCTGACTGGGACTGAAAGATCTGCTCTCAACATGGCTCACACGTGACTGTTGGCAGGAGGCTTCTGTTCCTTGCTGGCTATTGATAGGGGACCTTGGTTACTCTCCATGTAGGCCTCTCCATAGAGCTGCTTGGGTGTCCTCACAACATGGCTGCTGGTTTCCCCCAGAGCAAGTGATCTGAGAGGGAGAGCAAGGAGGAAGCCACAATGCCTATTATGACCTAGTCTCAGAAGTCACACTATCAGTTCCACCACTTTTACTCATAGAACTGAGTCACTAAGTCTAGCTCACACTGGAAGGGAAGGGATTTAGGCTTCACTTCTTGAAGGGAGGGTTACCAAAGAATTTGTGGACATATTTTAACAGAAAATTTTCTAATTCAAATAATTACAAGACCTCTATCAAGACAACTCTGGCCAGGCGTGGTGGCTCATGCCTGTAATCCCAGCACTTTGGGAGGCCGAGGTGGGTGGATCACTTGAGGTCAGAAGTTTGAGACCAGCCTGGCCAACATGGTGAAACCTCGTCTCTACTAAAAATACAAAAATTAACCAGGTGTGGTGGTGCGCTTCTGTAATCCCAGCTACTTGGGAGGCTGAGGCAGGAGAATCGCTTGAACCCAGGAGGCGGAGGTTGCAGTGAGCCGAGATTGTACCACTGTACTCCAGCTTGGGTGACAGAGCAAGACTCCGTCTGAAAAGAAAAGAAAAAAAAGAAAGAAGAAAATTAACCATTTATCCAGAGAAATATAACTGGTGTCCTGCTGATATTACCCTAGTTTGGCTGCGCATTCCTAACTGGAGAGAAATGGAGCAGATGCTGGATTTTATCTGTTGGAAGCTATTTTTGTAGGCTGATCCTTTCACTTCTAATAACTTCAACTTCCATTTCTATTTCCTAAGAGCTCCATAGTACACAGAATCACATAAGTAGGAAGACACTTTAGATGAAGAAGATCAAAGGGGATACCTGGTCTCCCACTGATTTGCACACTCGCAGAAACTAAGGGGAGGGGCTGATGCACCAGCCAGTAAGGTGATCTGGGCAGGTTACCAATAGCACTCACTATGGTGGTAACGCTCAGCTCAGTAAAGTCACTTCAGACGTGCTCTGAAGTGGGTGGGTAGAGACCCACCCAAAGCTGGAGCACCAAGTTCCTCATGCTCAATAATGGACAATAAAAAATAAACCCGCCATGCAGAAAGAGACATGTATTTCTCTTGACCTTGGCAGAAAGTAGAGGAGAAAAAGTCTCCATTGAGAAGTTCTAGCCACAAGGCAGCTCTCACAGAGAGGCTCTAAATTCATATGCTACAGTTGACCCTTGAACAACACTGGGTCTAGGAGTGCTGACCCCCCTGCAGTCAAAAACCCATGTATAGCTTTTGACTTCCCCAGAAGTTAACTAATGGTAGTCTGCTGTTGAATGGAAGTTTTACTGATAACATAAAGTCAGTTAACACAAATTTTATATGTTACATGTATTAATACTGTATTCTTGCAATAGAATAAGCTAGCTAGGAAAAAATGTTATTAAGAAGATCATGAAGAGGAGAAAATATATTTAATATTCATCAAGCAAAAGTGGATCATCGTAAGTCTTCATCCTTGTCATCTTCATGCTGAGTAGGCTGAGGAGGAGGAGGAGGAGGAAGAAAAGGGGTCGGTCTTGCTGTCTTAGGGGTGGCAGAGATGGAAGAAAATCACATATAAGTGGATCTGTGAAGTTCAAACCCATGTTGTTCAAGGGTCAACTGTATCTGTATGTTCCAAAAAACTCAAATGAAAATTTTAATTTATTTTTTTCAAGACTTTCAGGCCAGGCGTGATGGCTCACACCTGTAATCCCAGCACTTTGGAAGGCCAAGACGGGTGGATCACAAGGTCAAGAGGCCGAGACCATCCTGTCCAACATGGTGAAACCCCGTCTCTACCAAAAATTCAAAAATCAGCTGGGCATGTTGGCTCATGCCTGTAATCCCAGCCACTCGAGAGGCTGAGGCAGGAGAATCGCTTGAACCCGGGAGGCGGAGGTTGTGGTGAGCCGAGATTGTACCATTGCACTCCAGTCTGGGCAACAAGAGCAAAACCCCATCTCAGAAAAGAAAAAAAAAAGTGGCATTAGGTTGATAGTGCCTCCAAAACAGGAAGAAAAAAGGCAAATAAACAAAAATAGCACAACAAATAAAATATAAAGCACATAAGACGAAAGAAATAAACCAAAATATATCAGGAATCAAAATAAATGCAAACGGACTAAACTTCTAGATAGAAGGCAAAGACTATCTGATGGAGATTTTAAAATCCTATAAGCTGTTCCCAAGAGATGACTTTAAAACTAAGGATAGAGGCCAGGCATGGTGGCTCATGCCTGTAATCCTAGCATTTTGGAGGCTGAGGCAAGTGGATTGCTTGAGCCCAGGAGTTCGAGACCAGCCTGGGCAAAATGGTGATACCCCATTTCTACAAAAAATACAAAAATTAGCCAGTGCATGCCTGTAGTTCCAACTACTCGGAAGGCTGAGATGGAAAGGATCGCTTGAGCCCAGGAGTCAGAGGTTGCAGTGAGCCGAGACCACACCACTGCACTACAGCCTGGGTGACAAAGTGAGGGACCCTGTCTCAAAAACAAAAATAAGATAGGAACTTTATCCCTTTTGATTCCTAGGGAATAAAAACTGAAGTATAATTTTCAATGGCAAAATCACCAGGTGTGTGAGTACCATCAAATATTCTAAGCAGGTTTGTTTATAGAGTGTGAGGATTGCTATTAAAGACAACTGTCTGCAGTGTTGTGCCAGATACTTTATCTTTCAATATAGTATTAGCTTGAAAAACATGAAGAAAGGCCCAAGGTCATAGTTGGGGTAGATGTGGTATATAGAGCATACAGATAACTCTATCACTGAACCGCGTCTGGAAAATGGGCTATATAAAACCAACCTCCAAATTTGTCTGTGAAGATTCAACAAGTTGATGGAAGTAAGACTGTAATGTGCCAAGCATTATGCTAAGTACTCAATAAATAACAGATATCATCACAGGCATGGATAAGATCTAACATCCTTGGGCTCAGGGGATAAACACAACAGTATCTTGTGCTCTATAATCCTAATCAATGGCCAGGCTTCAGAAGCTGCCAGGTCATCACTGCCAAAAAAACACAAGGAATGCTGGGCTAAACCACCTTCCCAAGGTACTTTTCATTCTCCTGTGTCTTTATAAAGAAATGCTGCATATACATGTAACTCACTGCCAAAGAATATTGTAGGGTTTCTTTCCACTTTTGAGAAAAGAGCCCAGGAATTGCTAGCAAGCCTTTTAAATTTTATGAGAATTTTCTCACTCACAAAAGGAGTATAAAGTGCCGCCCTCTTGTGGTAGTTTCATGAAATTTCCTTTCCCGAAGCTCTCCCAAGGCACTGAATTTATTTTATTTATTTATTTATTTATTTATTTATTTATTTATTTATTTTTGAGATGGAATCTCGCTGTCGCCTAGGCTGGAGTGCAGTGGAGCGATCTTGGCTCACTGCAGCCTCCGACTTCCGGGTTCAAGCGATTCTCCTGCCTCAGCCTCCCAAGTACCTGGGATTATAGGTGCCCACCACCGCGCCCAGCTCATTTTTGTATTTTTAGTAGAGATGGGGTTTCACCATGTTGGCTAGGCTGGTCTCGAACTCCTGACCTCAAGTGATCCACCCACCTCGGCCTCCCAAAGTGCTGGGATTACAGGCGTGAGCCACTGTGCATGGCCTGGCACTGAAACTGAAATAGCACATTCCACTTCCATAGGTCCCCATTAGTGTTGCCAGAGTAAAAACCTTGGGCTAATGGACACCAAAATGACACAGTTAGCCATAGGCTGGGCTAAATGAAAAAGGTCAGATGATATAGTATATGGTTCTTCCCAATGGGTGAACAGTCTTATGGACAGAGAAAAAGAAATAGGCCCCACCTGCCACCTGGCTTTAATGTGGAACCTGGAGCACATCTGGGAAACTCATGGCTCCCACTCAGACCTGCTGTCCCTGCAGGACATTTGCTCAGTGGGAGCCCTGTGAGCAATTTGTCCTCCATATCACCTCCAAATTAATCTCCAAACACTGCTTAATGGAAAAGCAAGAGTCTCATCAGACCAAAACCACTCATCCTGACTTTCATTCAAGGTTTCTTACATTCTAGATCCTTCAGTCTTTTGTCCAACTACTGACCAGTTTGCATTTTACACCTCTAGCAGGTTCTTCTCTTGTTTCTGGCTTTTGCTTCCACTCTCTTTCCATCCTCCATCTCTAAATGACCTACACACTCTTCTATGAATAGCTAAATCCCTTCTTGCCATGAAGTCTACCTCAGGAACACTGGGCCAAATTGTCTTCCTGTCAGCTTGCATACAACTGCATCTTAGCACCTGATTATATTCAGTCTCCCAGGATTGCAAAGTCTCTGAAGTCAGGGGTCACAGGTTAGTACAAGTTGAGTATCCCTTATCCAAAATGCTTGCAACCAGAAGTGTTTTGGATTTCAAATTCTTTTTCAGATTTTAGAATATTTGCATAATACTTACCAGGTTGAGCATCCCTAATTCGAAAATCCAAAATCTAGAACATATAAGGAGCTCAAACAACTCTTTAAGGAAAAAACATAATAATCCAATTTAAAAATAGGCAAAAGATCTGAATAGACATTTCTCAAAATAAGATATACAGGCCAGGCATGGTGGCTCATGCCTGTAATCCCATCACTTTAGGAGGCCGCGGCAGGCAGATCACCTGAGGTCAGGAGTTTGAGACCAGGTTGGCCAACATGGTAAACCCCGTCTCTACTAAAAATACAAAAATCAGCAGGGAGCGCTGGCTCACACTTTGGGAGGCTGAGGCAGGCAGATCACAAGGTCAGGAGTTTGAGACCAGCCTGGCCAACATGGTGAAACCTCTCTCTACTAAAAATGCAAAAATTAGCCAGACGTGGTGGCTCACGCCTGTAATCCCAACACTTAGGGAGGCCAAGGCGGGCGGATCACAAGGTCAGGAGATTGAGACCATCCTGGCTAACACGGAGAAACCCCATCTCTACTAAAAATACAAAAAATTAGCCGGATGCGGTGGCGGTCGCCTGTAGTCTCAGCTACTCGGGAGGCTGAGGCAGGAGAATGGCGTGAACCTGGGAGGCGGAGCTTGCAGTGAGCCAAGATTGCGCCACTGCACTCCAGCCTGGGCGACAGGGCGAGACTCCGTCTCAAATAATAATAATAATAATAATAATAATAATAATAATAATAATAAAATAAAATAAAATAAAATAAAAATACAAAAATTAGCCAGGTGTGGTGCCAGACGCCTGTAATCCCAGCTACTCAGAAGGCTGAACCAGGAAGTGGAGCTTGCAGTGAGCCGAGATCACGCCACTGCACTCCAGCCTGGGCAACAGAGCGAGACTCCATCTCAAAAAAAAAAAGAAAAGAAAACGTGGTATGTATACACAATGGAGTACTATTCAGCCATAAAAAATAAGATCCTGGCCAGGCACAGTGGCTCACACCTGTAATCCCGATACTTTGAGAGACCGAGGCAGGTGGATCACCTGAGGTCAGGAGTTCGAGACCAGCCTGGCCAACATGGTAAAACCCCGTCTCTACCAATAATACAAAAATTAGCTGGGTGTGGTGGCACACACCTGTAATCCCAGCATTTGGGGAGGCAGAGGAGAGCAGGATAGCTCAAGCCCAGGAGTTTGAGATCAGCCTGGGCAACATGGCAAAACCCTATCTCTACAAAAAAATTAGTCAGGCATGGGGGTGTACACCAGTAGTCCCAGCTACTTGGGAGGCTGAGGCAGGATGATCACTTGAGCCCAGGAAATCAAGGTTGCAATGAGCAAAGATTGTGCCACTGCATTCCAACCTGGGCTACAGGAGACCCTGTCCCAAAAAAGAAAAAAATGAGGTTTCAGTAGCTTCTATGCAAGGTGATAACTGCAGAGAACTGAGACTCAACTGAAAATAGGTGATAAAACATTTTGTTGTGCTATTTATTAATTAAAGGACAAAAGAGCAAGATGAAAGACCACTAATATTTTTTGAGCTCCCACTACATGCCAGGTACACCATTGTCACACCTGGCCCACAGGAGATCTTCAATAAATGTTTGTTAAAGGGATGAATGAAACCCCAACCTTCATTCTGCAAAGGAAATGAAAGCTCAGGAAGATTCAGTGATTAAGATCACATTGTAAGTACTGGCAGAGCTGGGGCTTGAACCCACGTGAGCTGACCGATTCAAATTTACTGCTGCTTAACAACTCACCCTTACATTTAGTGGCTGAAAACCGCAATGTACTATTTGTCACAATCAGGGTAGACAAGATGCAGATGGTGGTTCTGCTGGTCTTGTTTGGGGCCTTACATGGCTGCACTGAGATGGTGACAGGGGCTGGGACACACAGGATGGCTTCACCCACACGTCTATCTTGGCCATTTGTGGAAACTAACTACCATAGGTGGTATTTCATGACCCTGTAAGCACCCACAAATTGCACCTGGTTGGATATTCTGCCTTAGAAAGATCATTCTGGCAGTAGAAAGTGCCTTGAAGGGGAAACCAAAGGTTTTGTAAAAAGTCTACTTTGGTGGTGAAGACCTGAGCCTAGACAGGAGCAGTGCACCCAGCAAACAGTCCAAGCGGAAGGCAAAGATGGTCTACTCCACCACAGGTTGCAGAGATGCCCCCTGGATAACTGGATAACAGTGTCAAGGATAACAGGAGTCCTGTGTTATCCCACTAGAGTCAGACTACAAGTATCAGGGTGAGATATTTTATTGAAGGGATGGAGATGAGAAAACCGAAGGAAACCTTTTAATGTTCATACCACATCCATATCTGATCACAAGCATTGGTTATCTCACCAGCAGAAGCACTTTTCTTCAGCCATCTCTGTAAGTCAGCAAACTACTTCATGACAGCTCCTTTGTAACCAGAGGACCCAAATTTTTCCAGAGTACGACTGGTTACCTTTTGGCTCATTGATTGACCCTCAGGTTTTTTATATTCTGATTTAACACACAAAAGTGTGTTCATATAGTTACATATATATGTATATATGAAAAATATTTGTGTACATATTTCTATATATGTATGTAGAGCTGAGACAAAAGTTTTACAATGAACAGCACCTTACTCTAAGCAACACACTCTTATTTCTATTCGCTTTAATCCTTTTTCTTTTTTTTTTTTTTTTTTTTTTTTTTGACAGAGCCTTGCTCTGTTGCCCAGGCTAGAGTGCAGCCTCTGCCTCCCGGGTTCAAGCGATTCTCCTTCCTCAGCCTCCCGAGTAGCTGGGATTACAGACATGCTCCACCACGTCCAGCTAATTTTTTTATTTTTTGGTAGAGACGGGGTTTCACCATGTTGGCCAGGCTGGTCTCGAACTCCTGATCTTAAGTGATCCGCCTGCCTCGGCCTCCTAAAGTGCTGGATTATAGCCCACCCAATCCTATTTTTTTAAATGCTGTCCATTAATGCATTCTGACTTCTTGCTTGAAAACCCCTGGTTTAGTGGATAAGCACCTGTAACTCCAGGAAGATTCAGGATTAAGGGCAGAAATAATGAAGTAAATTGAAGTATTAGCATTAGTATTTTCCATTACATTTTGGAATCGTCTATTTTGATGTATTCACGACGGTTAAAATAATTTAACATGCTAATGTATGGATTAACTTGGCAATTCCATTTTAAAATATTAAATGGAATAACGATTCTGACTCGTAAGTAGACATGTGTAACAGAATTCAACCACATCTGTAAACCATATTGAAATTATGAGAGTAAGATTTACCAACCACATTTAGGTTTGACATATTAGATTTGTGAGTGAACTATGTACTTGGATTTTGTCAAGTAACTCAATCGCTTAACAAAATAACAATTAAATGTATAAATGCAGTTTATAGCTATACATTATTTTTAAAAATCCCCTTCGAATGACTCTTTAAAACATACCAGGGGATACGCTACTTAAGTATAACTAGGTTTTGGATTTATAACGTTAATATTAATTATTAAAGCAAAACTCATTTCTAAAGAGTCGCCTGAGTGCCCAAAAGACGCCCTCAAGGACAGGGAAGCAGCTGCGATTCACTCAGCGATCACCAGCGCCCAGAATTCAGGGCCGCCCAAGCGGAGGAGCAACACGTGGCCCAGCAAAAGGAGCTGGGTCCCGTGCAGCACAGCAACAAGAAACTGGCCTAGGAAGACGCTGGAGCGTCTTTCTTTCGCACGTTACTGCCTGCTACAGTCATTTAAAAAAAAAAAACCAAAAACAAAAAAAAGAAATAAATTAATAGTACGAAGAAAACTGCGCGAGCTACATTCCCAGCAGGGTCTGCGCCAGAGCGCGCCAGGCACCGCTCCCGTTACGGGTGGGAGGAAAGGATGCACCGCCCACCCGGCGCCGGGGAGGCTCGTCCCCGAGTAGGGGACGGGAACGCCTGGGTCCCGGGGACGTGGGGCGCAGGGTCTGGGGCCCGAGGCCACGGACGAAGCGGGAAGCCGGCTAGGCAGCGGTCTCTGTCTGGGATGGACGCCGCGCCCCACGCGGACCTCCCGCCCCGACTTCACCCAGCTCTGCTGCCCGTAACTCATATGACAAGAACATCAGGAACCGGACTATTACCCCGAAAGGGCCTTCCCAAGTCGTTTCGCCGCCTGCAGTGCCCGACCGGGGGCCGCGCGTCCCCGGCAACCACGCCCGCCCGCGCAGCTGCAGAGGCCGGAAAAGGCCCGCTCGCCCGCGCTCGGCACCACCCAGCCCGCGCTCCGGGCGATACCACCCTGGGCGGCCCCTCCAAAGGCCGGAGATGGTGTCGTCCCCGGCCTCCGATTGGTCGGGGGGGCGGGGGCGTGGCCTCTGGAGCCTGGTTCCGCGCGCCGGAGCGCGCTAGCCGCATTGCGAGCCGAACCCGGGAGCTGGCGCCATGGTGAGGAGTGGTTGCGGGGCGCGGGCGACGCGACGGTGGGGGTTTCGGCCTGCGTTCGGGCCGCAGACAGGGCCTGGGCCTGGGCCTGGGCCTGCGCCTGCGCCTGCGCCTGCCCTGGGAACGGGTTCCGGCAGACGCTGAGGTTGCGTTGACGCTCGCGCCCCGGCTCCCGTTCCAGGTGCTGTTGCACGTGCTGTTTGAGCACGCGGTCGGCTACGCGCTGCTGGCGCTGAAGGAAGTGGAGGAGATCAGTCTGCTGCAGCCGCAGGTGGGTGAGATCCGTGGGCTCCTTTGGCGGCCCCGCAGACCCTCATCGCGCGGGTCCCAGCATGCACAGCGCGCTCCCACGTGGCCGGCCGAGCGGTTCGGGGCGGGGGGACGGGCCTGGAAAGCTCTAGATCCGGGGGTCTTTACCTTGACCCATGGGTAGAATCGCTCTAGCAATTAGAAATAAGCCTCCCGGACGCCGCCCCCGAACGATTAAAGCAGAAGCTGGGATGTGGGGCCCAGGTATCAGCATATTTTAAGAGCTTCCAAGGCTGAGAACCGCTGCTTGACTGCGCCGCAGAGGCAGGAGGGAGGGAAGGAAACCACTTAGCCTCTTTCTCCCCCCAGGTGGAGGAGTCTGTGCTCAACCTGGGCAAATTCCACAGCATCGTTCGTCTGGTGGCCTTTTGTCCCTTTGCCTCATCCCAGGTTGCCTTGGAAAATGCCAACGCCGTGTCTGAAGGTAAGTCGGCCACCGCCAAGTGTCACAGAGAGATGTGGTTCCTTTCGGTATCCTCTCGGGCAGCTTGTGATAGTATTTGCCGTCCTTGGCTGGCTCTGAGTCTGATAGGCGTGAGGCAGTATTTGAGCCATACAATGTGTAATTTGAAATAATTGTCTTCACAGAGCTCAAGGTCTGGGAACTGTGCTAGACCAAACTGTTTAAGCAGACGATGTGGAATGTGTGTTAACGTTTCCTTGTGGGCACTGTAGTGACAAACTATTTTTTATTTTTATTTTTTTTGAGATGGAGTCTGTCCCCCAGGCTGGAGTGCAGTGGCAAGATCTGGGCTCACTGCAACCTCTGCCTCCCTGGTTCAGGCGATTCTCCTGCCTCAGCCTCCCGAGTAACTGGGATTACAGGCCTGTGCCAGCCACCACACCCGGCTAATTTTGTATTTTTGGTAGAGACGGGGTTTCACCATGTTGGCCAGGCTAGTCTCCATCTCCTGACCTCGTGATCCGCCCGCCTCGACCTCCCAAGGTGCTGAGGTTGCAGGCGCGAGCGACGGTGCCCGGCCGACAAAGGGGGGTTTCTTAAAGGGGGTCGGCTTAACACCTACTTGTGCCTGAGGTTTTGCCTAAACACAATCAAGTGTCTGGTTCTCTGCTTTCTGTTCGATTGGAAAGGGCAGTTGGGTAAACACAGGCTGAGAAAAAAAGGTTTGGTTCCAGAAGGCAAATTCTACGAAATACTCGAGGGTGTGTTACAAGCTATTATTTATTGCCCACTTGTGCTATCAGACCTGAATGCAGTTGTTCCCATGGCTGGGCCAGGCTTTGCAGTGATGACTTGCGAATCAAATCTGTCAATCCCCTGAGTGCAATCACTGATGTCTCCATGTCTCTGAGCAATGCCTGATGGGGAGGGATCTAGGTATGCCATCCCAGCGTGCTCGGTGGGACCAGGGTAGTCAGCTGAGGGATGTTAGAGTTGATCGTCCTTCAGCCTGTTAGTGGGAACTGTGTTCTTTCCCCTGAGGGGTTGTTCATGAGGACCTCCGCCTGCTCTTGGAGACCCACCTGCCGTCCAAAAAGAAGAAAGTACTCTTGGGAGTTGGGGATCCCAAGATTGGTGCCGCAATACAGGAGGAGTTAGGGTACAACTGCCAGACTGGAGGAGTCATAGCTGAGATCCTGCGAGGTGAGACCATCATCTGTTATATTCCTGTTATCCTGGACATTTTGGGGGAGGAGGTTCTGGAAACTTGGTTGCTTGTTGTGATTTCTGGGAAGGCCTTCAGGCTGGGCTGGTGCCCGTGGGTGCGGGAGCTAGCTCAGAGCCCCTTGTTGCTCACCGTCTTGCCCTCTTCTTAGGAGTTCGTCTGCACTTCCACAATCTGGTGAAGGGTCTGACCGATCTGTCAGCTTGTAAAGCACAGCTGGGGCTGGGACACAGCTATTCCCGTGCCAAAGTTAAGTTTAATGTGAACCGGGTGGACAATATGATCATCCAGTCCATTAGCCTCCTGGACCAGCTGGATAAGGACATCAATACCTTCTCTATGCGTGTCAGGTAAAGTGCAGGGGCCACCCATAATACTGGAGCCTTTGGTCTGTAGTTCAGTTAATTTTGAGTCTTGATGAGGACTGACCATCCTGTGGGTAGAACCATGTGGGCTGGGGCTGGGTGTAGGCCTCCTGGTGCTTACCACAGGCTGTGTTCTTACACTGACTGTATAGAAAGAGGAGGTAGAGTAAACCTACCCCATATACACCTCAGCTCAGGCCCTGTGCCTGGTCTGTATTGTGAATGGGGGAACATAGAATTGAGGAAGATTTGGATCTTTGTCCCATTTCCTCCAGGCAGAGTAGGTGTGGAGAAGGCAAGGCTGTAGCTCTATGGTTTTTGATGAAGCAGCTGGGCCAGGGAGTGACTGTGGCTCTTTGCAGGGAGTGGTACGGGTATCACTTTCCGGAGCTGGTGAAGATCATCAACGACAATGCCACATACTGCCGTCTTGCCCAGTTTATTGGAAACCGAAGGGAACTGAATGAGGACAAGCTGGAGAAGCTGGAGGAGCTGACAATGGATGGGGCCAAGGCTAAGGCTATTCTGGATGCCTCACGGTCCTCCATGGGTCAGTGCAGAGCCTGGCAACCTGCATAAGGTATGGGGCTCTAAATAGCTGGCCTCTTGCATTCACACTTGGTTTTTCCTAGGCATGGACATATCTGCCATTGACTTGATAAACATCGAGAGCTTCTCCAGTCGTGTGGTGTCTTTATCTGAATACCGCCAGAGCCTACACACTTACCTGCGCTCCAAGATGAGCCAAGTAGCCCCCAGCCTGTCAGCCCTAATTGGGGAAGCGGTGCGTCACAGGGGACTCAAAAATGGGAGAATAAGGACTGTTGCCATGTGCACCTGCACTGCTGTATTTCGTGACCCACCATGTCTTCCCTAGTTGTGCTTGATGGGGAGGTGGGGAGCAGGGCTGTCGTGCAACTGGGCAGGTCAGCAGTTCATTTCTCTGACTGCTTCCTTGACTCTCTCTCCAGGTAGGTGCACGTCTCATCGCACATGCTGGCAGCCTCACCAACCTGGCCAAGTATCCAGCATCCACAGTGCAGATCCTTGGGGCTGAAAAGGCCCTGTTCAGGTACCAGTGAGGGCACCTGCCCACAATCAGGTGCCACTTCTGGTGCCCACTGCTTGTTGGGGGATCACGGTGATGGCTGACCAGGGCTCCCTGACCTATACAGGCCTCTGCTATGGGGGTGATGGCCAGTCCTGGTGTCTGAGTGATTCCCAGGGCCCAGCAAAGGGACCAAGTTTCCAGGTCAGCGACATTGGATGCCTTCCCTCTGCCTCTGGGAGCTATGGGTTGGCATGCATTGGGGTAGAGATCCAATCTGGCCTGAGGCTCACTCAGGACTTCGGGGTGAGAGGAGGGGAGGAGCTGAGCTGCCTTGGCTAATGGGGTTGAAATTTCTGATCTTAAACTCTCCACTGAATATTCTCTCAGAGCCCTGAAGACAAGGGGTAACACTCCAAAATATGGACTCATTTTCCACTCCACCTTCATTGGCCGAGCAGCTGCCAAGAACAAAGGCCGCATCTCCCGATACCTGGCAAACAAATGCAGTATTGCCTCACGAATCGATTGCTTCTCTGGTATGGGTGGGGGGGCGTTGGCAGGTGTGAGAAGGGGCTGGGTGGCTGGGTGGGGAGGCTTGCAACCATAGCTTCCACAATGATGGCAATATTTTTCGTCAACAGCAGTTCACCTAGTGAGTGTTGAGACTCTGGGTCTGAGTGAAGCTGAGGGTAGAGGGAACACAGGGTTGGGGTAGTTTCTCTCTTTGGGCTGACAGGCTTTGTCACCCACACACATCCAGAGGTGCCCACGAGTGTATTCGGGGAGAAGCTTCGAGAACAAGTTGAAGAGCGACTGTCCTTCTATGAGACTGGAGAGATACCACGAAAGAATCTGGATGTCATGAAGGAAGCAATGGTTCAGGTCAGTTGGGCTTTGCTGGGTGTGGAGTGGCATAGCTAGCTGTTGGAGGTGATGAACTGTCTGAGCCTGACCTTGTAGAATGGAGGCAAAAAAACTGATTTAATGAGCCTGATCCAATAAAGCCAGAAAGGAGTCCTCAGAGCACCAGAAGTCTTCAGGCCCTTTTAGCACTTTTCTTTGACCAGGCAGAGGAAGCGGCTGCTGAGATTACTAGGAAGCTGGAGAAACAGGAGAAGAAACGCTTAAAGAAGGAAAAGAAACGGCTGGCTGCACTTGCCCTCGCGTCTTCAGAAAACAGCAGTAGTACTCCAGAGGAGTGTGAGGTCAGTAGGCAGCACGGCCCTGGCAGAGATCCTAGGTTGTAGGATTTTCAACAGCAGAACAAAGGATATGCTGCATCAAGCTGTGGTCTTGAGTCCAGGCTTTTGGACTGAAACAAGGACCTGAAACATCTAAAACTACCTCTTGATTCTATAGGAAGGAGATAGGTGCTGAACTTGCTCAAGAGCCCAGAGAGCTGGTTGTAGCTCACACCCGTTCCCTGGGCATGTGTGTTCTGTCCTCGGCTGCCTCCCAGGAGTCCTCAACCTGGGGTAGTGTAAATTCCTGCTCTGCTTATTATCAGACGTGTGTCCGGAGGTGGTCGTGTTTCACAGTGGGGATGGGGGCAGGGAGGTCCCCAATGTGCTAAGCTACAATCATTCTCCCTGAGATTTTCATTTAGCACCCAGTTTCTTAAACAGTGTTTCAGGGCCCTGTCTGGAACTTGGCATGATGGTTCTGTTGCGACCAGCATGGTGGGTGTTTTTTAGGTTTTTTTTTTTAATGGGCTGAGGTAATTTCTCATGACATGTTTTCCTTCTAATTTGGGACAGCCTTTGGGGTGGATTTCTAAAGTTATACCCACACAATTAAACTATCCCAGAAACACTGGGCAATGTTAACGACACGCGTTCCCCTGCCTTGGCTACTTAATTGCTGAAGATGTAATGAGCACTGTTCTCACAGCCTGTTCCCCTGTCCTTCCCTTTAGGAGATGAGTGAAAAACCCAAAAAGAAGAAAAAGCAAAAGCCCCAGGAGGTTCCTCAGGAGAATGGAATGGAAGACCCATCTATCTCTTTCTCCAAACCCAAGAAAAAGAAATCTTTTTCCAAGGAGGAGTTGATGAGTAGCGATCTTGAAGAGACCGCTGGCAGCACCAGTATTCCCAAGAGGAAGAAGTCTACACCCAAGGAGGAAACAGTTAATGACCCTGAGGAGGCAGGCCACAGAAGTGGCTCCAAGAAAAAGAGGAAATTCTCCAAAGAGGAGCCGGTCAGCAGTGGGCCTGAAGAGGCGGTTGGCAAGAGCAGCTCCAAGAAGAAGAAAAAGTTCCATAAAGCATCCCAGGAAGATTAGAATGCAAATGGACATTCTCTGGGAGGTGGGGCATACCATAGCCCAAGGTGACATTTCCCACCCTGTGCCGTGTTCCCCAATAAAAACAAATTCACAAGAGTTGGTTCATGTTCTTTATTGAACACCTTACATGGGTATGGACAGGGCCTATGGGTGGGGCAAGGCAGCAATGACAGCCTCAGTGAAGTCATGGCAAGTAGCATAGCCACCCATGTCAGAGGTTCGAACCTGTGGGGGAGAATCATCATCATCCATGTGGCCTGGGCTCCATCCTAACAATCCCCATCACCACCCAACAGTCTGTCCCCTAAGGAAGCCGGCCCAAGGACAACCTAGGCTCTACCCAGCAAGGTGACCATGGTCCACTGCTTAGAGGCACAAGGTCTCTTCCCTGGTACACTGCACTGAAGGGTATGGGGAGTGTGGTCCTTGCAAGGTTGGAAGAAATAAAGGGCTCTAGCTCCCTTTAGTCTGCAGGTGACCGATGACAGACTTGATGAAGTCGGTTGTGGTGCTGTAGCCGCCCATGTCTCGAGTCCGCACCTACAGCCACCACCGGCAACAGCCGTGGGGAGGGAGAAAAGAGAGCCCATGAAGGGAGGTAGGGCAATGTGATTGAGGAAATGGAAGCCAAGAATGCGTGACAGCCAGAAAAAAGGCAATGCACAGGAATGGAAGGAGGAGCCAGGATGGGAAGCACATGGACCTGCCACTCCTCTTAAGCCACTATTAGCTGTGCTGCAGCCAGGGCAGGACAGGAGGCTGAGCAGGCAAAGATGATGGGAAACGCAGATCAGAGGCAGGATGTGGCTACCTTCCTTGGAAGAAATAGAGACAAGACCAGGTGGAAGGAAAGAATCACAGCGAAAAGGAGATGGGGCGTGAAGGTGAAGCTGATGCTTCAGCCTGCCTGTATCCCTTGCTGTTCCACCCCCAAGGAGAGCTGCAAGTTCTGCATTCAGATGGCCCATGAAAAGGGCAGTGGATGGAGCAGGAAAGAGGGAACAGCAGATGGGATCTAAGAGGCAAAAGAGATCAAGAGGATGAAACAGCCAAGAGAAGGGAGATGAAGAACAGCCCTGAGAGGGATGCAGGGATGTCAGGGAGCAGATGTTCTGGGGACCTGGGGGGAAAGGAGACCCCCATTCAGGTTCCCCAGAGGGTAGTGCCGAGGTGCTGACACCAGAACTACTCTAAATCCTGAAGCCAGCACTACTCTTCTCAACTCACCTTGCCAACTTTGATCACCTTCTTCACCGCATCTGCGATCATGCTGGAGTGATACTCAAGACTGTGGATATGGACAGGAAGAAACTGTGACTCCCCCAAGACACCTCCCGCTAATTTCCCCACCTGCTCCTCCTCACGACACCCAACCTCTGCCGACAGCCTCCCATGACCTACTTAAGATGCCGCAGCATGTTGGAAGCCGACAGCAGCATGGCCGTGGGATTGGCTATATTCCTGCCCACTGCCTGGGCAAATGGGTGCCGGGCACCCTGTGGAGAGAGGGGCAGGCTAGACACTGGGAGGAGGCAGGAGGGGTATGCAGAGGCTTAGGTTGGAAAAGGACATTATGGGAGGGGGAGCTCAGGCCAGGGTCACTGAAAAGAGGCATGGTGGGCAGCGTGGGGGAAGAACAGGCCAAGATCACTTAGGAAGTGGAGATATTGGGATGGGAGAGGAATGGCGGACTTGAGGTCAGAGGAAGGGCCGAGGGAGAAAGCAGCCTCACCGTCTCAAAGACTGCGTATTCTGCACTATAGCTCTCACCAGGGACCACACCAGCTCCCCCAACCAGGCCAGCAGCCAGATTGTCAATAATGTTCCCATAGAGATTGGGCATCACAAGCACATCAAACTGGTAAGGATTCTGCACCAGCTAGAGGGTGAGATGCAGGCATGAAGTAAATTCCACTCCCCACCCTCCTCCTCCGCCCCATGAGTAGAGATGTGGGGAGGCCTCACCTGCATGCAGCAGTTGTCTATGATCATTGTCTCAAATTTGATTTTGGGGTACAGTTCAGCAACTTCCTCACAGCACTGCAGGAACAACCCATCCCCAAGTTTCCTGTCCATGGGCCAAAGGGGACAGAATCAGCCAAGAAAGTACAGGGGCTACCTTCCCAGGAACCCATCCTACACAAAGCCATGCCCCTCACATGATGTTGGCCTTGTGGACAGCAGTGACCTTGCCCCGCCCCTTCTTGGTGGCATAGTCAAAGGCGAACTTTGCAATCCGCTGAGACTTGGCTCGTGTGACAATCTTCAAACACTCAATCACACCCCTTGCACTCTGGGTAAGAAGAAAGCAGCAGCTAGGTGACACTGGGAAGGGAAACAAGGAGCTCCACCTCTCTCCCATCTTCATCCTTGCCCTCCCCCAGTTTCTGGGGCCTCACCTCATGTTCCAGAGAGCTGTACTCCCCTTCTGTCTGCTCTCGAATGATCACCAGGTCTAGATTGTTGTGCCGAGTCATATACCCAGGAAGTGACTTCACATGGACTACGTTGGCAAATAAGTCCAACTTACGCCTGAGGGTGGGCAGGGCCATCAGCTCTGCTCCTGGTGCCCTGGCACCTCTCAACCATTCACCCCACCCAGACCACCTACCTCAGCCGCATATCATAGGAGGCTAGCTCCCCCTTATACTCCATCGGGGTATGAATCTTTCCTGTGAAAACAAAGTGGGAAAAGGAGTGTCAGCCACAGGCCAAGCCCAAGGGAACTCAGACCAGTGTCTAACCCCCTTAGGAACATCATGTAACCCAGACTCCCATCTCCCATTCCCACATCAGTAAACTTTTAAATTGTCTCTGGGGGCAAGGGACAAAAGAGAATAATGTAGTTAAAGCCAGAAACATTTCATCTATTGCATTTTCTGTGTGTGTGTGTGTGTGTGTGTGTGCGTGTGTGAGAGACACAGGGTCTCACTCTGTCGCCCAGGCTGGAGTGCAGTGGCACGACCTGGGCTCACTGCAACCTCTGCCTCCCAGGTTCAAGCAATTCTCCTGCCTCAGCCTCCCCAGTAGCTGGGATTACAGGCATGTGCCACCACACCTGGCTAATTTTTTGTATTTTTAGTAGAGGCAGTGTCTCACCATGTTGGCCAGGCTGGTCTCAAACTCCTGACCTCAAGTGATCCACCCGCCCCGGCCTTAATGCTTTATTTTTAGTCAACATATTTAATTTATGTTGAAACTTCAAAACGGAGAACAGATTTTTTCTATTTATCAAAAAAGAGCCTGGGTTTAACAACAAGTTGAAAAACAATGCTAGCAGATCTGTGATCTTTTTATCTGTGCCTTCTCCTTATTTGACATTTTTTAACCCAACACCTACTGATGAATATCAATTATATGTCAGGCAATAAGGATAACAACTAAAACCATACAACTCCTGCCCTTGAGAAGCAAACGGTACACTGGGAAAGACAGAAAATATGAAAGACATGATAAGTACCATGGGAAACTTGCATAGCAACACAAAGAGGAAATCCTCTCCAGTAATATCAGGATACAGCACAGAAGAGCTGGCACTTCAGCCATGCCTTGAGCCCCAGAACCTATGTATGTGACCTTATTTGGGAAAAGAGGCTTTGCAGATGTAATTAAGTTAAGGATCTTGAGAAAAAATCGTCCCATCCAGGGCTAAATATTTGAGGAGAAAAATGATACCGAGACAGAGAGGGAAGAAAACCACAGATATTGGAGTGATGCATCTACAAGTCAAAAAACAGCAAGAGCCACCAGAAGAGGCAAGAAAGGTTTCTCCCCTAAACCTTCAGAGGGAGCAGGGCCCTGCCAACACCTTAATTTCAGACTGATGGCCTCCAGCACTGTGAGAGAATACATTTCTGTTAATGATAAGCCACCAGGTTCATGGTAGTGTGTTACGGCAGCTATGGGAAACTAATACAGTGAATGAGTGAGAAGGACTCTAACAGGTAGCACCAAAGAAAGAACGTTCTGGGTGGAGGGAACAATATAAGTCAGGTAGTACATATTTGGAATCTAACACACAATCTAGTGTGATTGAAGCACAGAACAAGAGTTGTGGAACCAAGGCAGAAAATTAAGGGCCAACTTATAAAGTACTGACTTTCCTATGGTAAGGCTGGGCCTGGAAAATCAGGCTGTTCTTTCCAAGAAGAGATATGGAAGATGAACTATAGGGGCAGAACTAGAAGCCAAAAAAATCAAATGAGGAGATTAAAGCGCGGAAGACAAAAGAAAAGGGGCAGCTAGGCACGGTGGCTCACGCCTATAATCGCAGCAGTTTGGGATGCAGAGGTGGGTGGATCACTTGAGGTCAAGAGTTCGAGACCAGCCTGGCCAACATGGTAAAACCCTCTCTCTACTAAAAATACAAAAATTAGCCTGGGCATGGTGGCTCACACTTGTAATCCCAGCACTGTGGGAGGCCAAGGCGGGCAGATCACAAGGTCAGGAGTTCGAGACCAGCCTGACCAACATGGTGAAACCCCATCTCTACTAAAAATACAAAAATTAGCCAGGCATGGTGGCACGCTCCTGTAATACCAGCCAGCTACTCAGGAGGCTGAGGCAGGAGAATCACTTGAACCCGGGAGGCAGAGGTTGCAGTGAGCTGAGATGGCAACATTGCACTCCAGCCTGGGCGACAGAGCGAGACTCTGTCTTAAAACAAAACAAACACAAAAATTAGCTGGGTGTGGTGGTGCACACCTGTAGTCGCAGCTACTCAGGAGGCTGAGGCAGGAGAATTGCTTGAACCAGGGACGGGGAGGTTGCAGTGAGCCGAGATCGCGCCACTGCACTCCAGCCTGGGCGACAGAGCAAGAAGAAACAAAGAGGAAGGAAGGGAGGGGAAAAAAAAAAAAAGAAAAGGGGCAGCTAAAAGTGGTATTCCAGAAATGCAATGAATAAGATTTGATGACAGTTGATGTAGCCTCAGGACAGACTCAGAACCCCTGGAACTTTTCTGCATAGACAGCTGACATGATCTCTCAACTCCTGGGCTCCCAATGGGAAGGAACAAATGTCCAAATACCAATGGTGGTTGCCCTGGAGTTAATATAATTGCATAGCATGTGGGGAGAAGGGCTTAATAAACATTTGGTCATTTGATTTTAAATGGCACATGGACAAGTGGCAAGAGGGCACACATACCAATGATGGCCACTTTGTTCTCCTTCATGGAACTCAGCACCTGCTCCAGCTTCTCCTCAGATGCCATATTCTGCACCTCACTCAGGTGGTGCTCCTGGAACTCCACTGGGACAGCGGCAGCCTTCAGAGACAGGTTCCCAAAACATCACAGTCAAGGCCAAGTCCTTTCCAACACACTACTGTCCTCTACTGTCTGATCCCCGAGGCCACTCACCTTGAACACCTCCTTGACGGCGTGCATCAGCTCAGGCCCCACACCGTCTCCCGGAAGCATGGTCACGGGAAAGGAGCCCTCCACCCTCACGTCCTCGGCCTCAATTGGGGGAAGAGGGGAGAAGTAAAGATAGAGCTGGGGCGGGAGCACGGATCCTGGGAGTAGAGAAGTAGGGAGACCCGGGAGGGGTGGGGAAAAGCCAGGGGAGGGAGCAGCGAGGAAGGGACAGGGTCGTAAGAGAGACCCCAGCCAGATTCGTGCATACCTGGCTCCGCGATGCAGCGTGCGCCGCGGCCGAGGTACTCAGACCTCTCCATGCCCCAGGGTTCCCGGCGGAGACCAGCGCCTGCAACAGGGACACACAAGCCTGTAAGGTCAGCTTTGAGACATCCAGACCCCGAACACTACAGTTGACTTTGCCCTGTTTAGGAAACCCTAGGACAAACTCTCCGCTCCTTCGCCCGCCCCTGCCCGACATGTCCCGGGGCCTCACTCGGGTCAGCCAGCGGACTCCGCTCAATGCCGCCATGTTTCCCGCAGGAAGTCGCGTGGGAAGTGACGCCTGAAGCTGGCGCGGCCCCGTACCCCGACTTCCGGCCTGTACTGAGTTCCTGGTATTTCTCTCTCTGCGCCAACCAGCACTGCTTGCTCACGCCTGTTTCTCCTTTTCCTTGCCGGTGGGGAGGTCATGGGATGCGCAAGCACTTTGTCTCTTGCTTTGTTTTCAGTCGCCATATTTAATCTACGTCGAAACTTCAAAATAACATTAGGGGGAAAAATGTAGCGTCATGTTTATCAGACGAGGACCTGAGCTTAACAAGCGATTGAGAGAAAATCCTTGGGAAGCTGTTAAAATTTGTGTGTCAATGCGTTTGTTATTCTTTTAACCAGTACTCACTGAATACCTGTATGTCAGGCTCTCGAGGAATACAGTACAGACATGGGAGGTGTGTGTCGGGTTTCTCCGCCAGTCTCCGAGAGTGCCCAGGACCTCTGTATTACCCGTCGCCTCGTAGTTTTTTCTTACAGGGTTTTGTTCTTTGCTCTGACAGTTATTTCCCTAATAGTGTGTCCCGGACTTGAACTCCCCAGGACAGGCCCATAACTAGTGTCAGAAATGAGTTCAAGCGTGTAAGTGTGACTAAAGGGAATTTCAGACTGATCCTTAAAGTAACAATCATAAAAACTAAAAAAAGCCTGGACAACATAGGGAGACCTCGACTCTACAAAAAATTTAAAAATTAGCCAGGCGTGGTGACACACCTGTAGTCCCAGCTACTTAGGAGGCTGAGGTGGGAGGATCACTTAAGCCCGGGAGGTGGAAGCCGTAGTGAGCCGTGATGGCACCACTGCACTCCAGCCTGGGAGACGGGGCGAGACCCGTCTCAAAACAATTACAGTCACGATTTTTTTTTTTTTTTTTTTGAGACAGAGTCTCGCTCTGTCGCCCAGGCTGGAGTGCGGTGGTGCGATCTCGGCTCACTGCAAGCTCCGCCTCCTGGGTTCACCCCATTCTCCTGCCTCAGCCTCCCGAGTAGCGCCCGCCATCACACCTGGCTAATTTTTTTTTTTTTTTTTTTTTTTTTTTGTATTTTTAGTGGAGACGGGGTTTCACCGTGGTCTCGATCTCCTGACGTCGTGATCCGCCCGCCTCGGCCTCCCAAAGTGCTGGGATTACAGGCGTGAGCCACCAAGCCCGGCCTCCAGTCACGATTTTAGGTGTGTACAATTGACACACCTAAAGACAAACTGGTACAGGAAGATTTGCCTCACCCGCTCTTCTGGAAGTATGGTTTTGGATCACCTATCCAGATGGACCAGAGCTCTTGTTAAAAGTGCAGGCTTGTGAGTCATACTTCATTTGCTGAATCCAAATCTCAGTGATGGGGGCCCAGAAAATATATCTCTAACAGGCTCCCCGTTAATACACACTGAAATTTAAGAACCACTAGCTAGGTTCTCTGTGATAAGTTCCTCCTTCGTATATACCTCAACCAGCCAAAAAGGTGGCAACGCAAAGGCATTCCCAGTGCTTCTATTCTTGGGGAATATGCATAGGCTTTGTGCCTCCTCTGCAATCCTTTAGGTGCGACATTCTCCTATATAGTAGTAGGATGAGAAGATTAAACTAGGTAATGTGTAAGAGTTTTGAACAAATGAAAAGTACTGGGTAAATATAGAGCTGTTATTATAGCTAATATAATATTAGTATAACACACTCCTCTATTTCCATTCATATATCCCATGAAACCAACCAAAACCAGAGAGCACCACCGTCTTGCTCCCATAGACTCCCTCGTCCCAGCTTCCACATCACTATTAATATTCGTCACTATTTTTCTTCTCCAAATATTTCTCCTTCTGACTAAGAAAAAAATGGAAGATTTATAACCTCTGCCTCCCGGGTTCAAGCGATTTTCCTGCCTCCGCCTCCCTGGTAGCTGGGATTACAGGCACGCGCCACCACACCCGGCTAATTTTTGTATTTTTATTAGAGACAGGGTTTCACCATGTTGGCCAGGCTGGTCTTGAGCTCCTGACCTCAGGTGATCTGCCACCCTCAGCCTCCCAAAGTGCTGGGATTACAGGCATGAGCCACCGCACCCCGCCAAATTTACTCTTTTTAAAAAACTACATTTTCTGTTACGTCAGGAAATGTGGGATAAGAAAGAAGAGAGATGTACCATCTTAATCCAATCTCTGATAATAATCTAATTTTCTTGAGGGTGACTACATCATTTCCATCCCTAAATTCTGCACAGACTTGTTCCCCACCTAACACTCAAAAAATATCTGCTAACTGATAAAACACTAAGTGGCCATCACCAGGGTGAAAGGAACTGATGGAGGTTACCAGTGGACACAGGCCAAGGAGATGAGACCATTATTGTCTGAAGGCCACTGTGTTCTCCCCATGAACTCAGCAAGCTCTCCTGGCCTTCAAGTCCCCATGAGGGCATCTTTGACCAATACTGCCTGATAATGGAGAAATCCTGTCAGGACCTTTGAAAAGTTTCTTAACCTATCTCCTGGGGGATGGGAGGGAGGTTATACCATCTTGTTCTCTTCTAACTGTTGTGGAGTCTCCTCTGCTTAGCACAAGAGGCTATAATGATGGATGAGCTGCCTACACTTGAGTGTTCAGTGTGAAGCTGAGTGACTTGAATGTCTGCTTCCCAGGCCTGCAAATCCTCCAGCACAGGAGTCCTGACTTGGGATCTACAGAACCCCCTAGGTGTCCATGAATAGGAATCAGCACTGTGAACCTGGATGGGGGAAAAACCAAAAATCACATCTTTATTCTCACTAACCTCTAACTGAAGTTTAGCATTTCCTTTCATTATGAATGCAGGTCACAGATTACAGTGCTGCCTGTAGTACTCTTGACTTTGTCAATCATAAAAAGTATAGATATTTTCATACCACATTTTAGTTGTAGTAGATCTCTCAAAATATCACTTACTTTAATCCTATTTTTACATTATTTGACCCAATGCTAGATTGTGTTATTTAATGAATTAATAAAGCAGCAAACATAGTAGTATGTTACAAGGTAGCTTTTATTCCTTTTCTCCTTTTAGAGAGATGGTTTCAGTCTGTTCCCCAGGCTAGGGTGTGATCACGGCTCACTGTAACCTCAAACTCCTGGGCTCAGGTGATCCTCCCACCTCAGCCTCCCAAGTAGCTGGGACTACAGGCATGCGCCACCATGCCTAGCTAATTTTTAAATATTTTGTAGACATGAGGTCTTGCTATGTCGCCCAGGCTTGTCTTAATCATATTTGTCTTGTAATTCTATTTATTTTATATACTTAAAAGTCTCTTTTTTTTTTTTTTTTTGGAGACAGAGTCGCTCTGTTGCCCAGGCTGAAGAGCAGTGGGCGATCTCAGCTGAGTGCAAGCTCCACCTCCCGGGTTCACACCATTCTCCTGCCTCAGCCTCCGGAGTAGCTGGGACTACAGGCGCCCGCCACCACGCCCAGCTAATCTTTTTGTATTTTTAGTAGAGACAGGGTTTCACCGTGTTAGCCAGGATAGTCTCGATCTCTTGACCTCGTGATCCACCCGCCTCGGCCTCCCAAAGTGCTGGGATTACAGGCATGAGCCACTGCACCCGGCCTAAAAGCCTCTTCTAAGAAAGGTTCCACAGGCTTCACCAGCCTTCCAAAGAGGTCCGCTGCACACAAAAGTTTCAGAATTTCTGGTGTATTAGGCCTACTGGATCTTTTTCTGAAACCATGAACAATCAAAAGAGTAATATAACCAATGACAATTCCTTGAAAATTAACGTCTGAAAAAGCTTCTTGGGAGAATTTGATCTGTGATTGAAAGGATAAACAGAATTACAGAGGAGAAGTGATTACACTCAGGGAAAATGGAAATGTAAGCAAAGCTACTGTTTCAGATCAACTGCCCTAGAAGCAGAGCCCAAGACAGGGATTCTATGCAATTGACCTGTTGAAGGAGTGCTCTCAGGAGAAACACATCAGAAGGTGAATGAGCAGAATATGGAGGGGAAGGAGCTCAGCAAGATGTGGCCTCAGCCAGAGTCCACCTCAGCCCCATCTCCTGGGGAGCTCTGGAGCATTAGTGACAACTCAAGGTTGTCATGATTTGAGACAAGGCTTAACAACCCTGCTTTGCCCCTGCATGGCATAGGCCAGGGCCAATCCTTCAGAGAAGGGGGAAGCTTTGAGCCGTTAGTGGCAAATACCTGAAGCAACTGGGGGAATGGATACACCAGCTTGCCAAGAGGACCTGGCCAAGGCAGACACTACCTTGCGGAGGTGACAGTGAACATAGCGTGCTGACGAACAGTGAGGTGGGCAGATATATTTGAGGAGATGAGTTATAGTGAGGATTGGTGAGTAAGTAGGACTGGTGCATGTTCAAGGTCCGAGAGAAACAGAGAGAGTTTTGTGAGCAATACTAAGCACCCTGTTGAGGTTGGTGACCATGAAGTTTATTGTGGTGCAATTGTGTGTGATTTCACGGTGAGAGCAAACCAAAAGTGAGTTCATCCAAAAGTGATATTTTGCTAGAGAGTGGTACAAGGGAGTTGAGAGTGTTGGCAAAATGGGATCAGGAGGCAAGTGAAGACAGAAGAGATCTAATCAACAGGCAGCTGAGGAAAGAATCAAAGACCCCCCCAAAATATTCAAAGAGTAGTACTTGTGGGAGTTGTTGAGCAAGTAACATGGGAAGAGAGGACGCTGCTTCCACCAGTGGTTTTGGAGGTGGAGTAGATGCTGGTGATAATGAAGTCCCAGATAGGAAATGGGAGTGGATGCCAAGGAGATCTCAAGGACCCTGCAGATGAGGACTCAAACCCACAATATTGATGAGGCATCCATGTCACCATGGGAGTCAACGAGGATAGTGGCCTCAGCTGAGGCAGGGAAAAGCTGGGATCCAAGTGACATAGTCTTCTCTTGATAAGCAAGAGAGACCAGGAGATGAGAGATGGCAGAGAATGAGAGAGGTGATATCAGTTACCAGAAAGAGCCCCTAAAAGGCAACACTTCTTTTTTTCCATTAGTTTTAATATAGAATTTTGCTTTAGTACTTTTAATTAGATAACCCTCTTTTAAAAATATATATTTTTTAAAATATATTTTTTTCTTACCATACCAACTCACAGCCCCAATCTTTTTGCCCTAACCTCAGAATCAGTTAGTTGTCCGCTTTAAAACCCTTTTCTTACACACACACACACACACACACACAGAATATATAGTATTGTTTTTGGTGTATGAGTGTGTGCGTCGGAATAAATGGTTTCATACTCTATATACTTACTGTTTTATAATTTACCTTCTTCACTCAACACTGTATCTCAGATGTCTTAGAGATCTAAGACACCATATCTTAGAGAATGAGCAGCCTCATTGTTTTATTCCGTAATATGAATTTACTAAATTTATTGGGCCTTTTTTTTTGAGACAGAGTCTTACTCTGTCACTCAGGCTGGAGTGCAATGGCACAAAATCGGCTCACTGCAAGCTCCGCCTCCTGGGTTCAAGTGATTCTCTTGCCTCACGCCCAGATAATTTTTTGTATTTTTAGTAGAGACAGGGTTTCACCATGTTGGCCAGGCTGGTCTCAAACTCCTGACCTCAGGTGAGCCACCCGCCTCGGCCTCCCAAAGTGCTGGAATTACAAGCATGAGCCACCGAGCCCGGCCTGAGCCTTTCTTAAATTGATGATAGTGTGGTTTCTAGTTTGGGCCATTATCAGCAACATTGCTGTGTACATATCTTTATATCAGGGTGTCCAATCTTTCAGCTTCCCTGGGCCCATATTGGAAGAAGAATTGTCTTGGGCCACACATAAAATACACTAACACTAATGGTAGTCGATGAGCTAAAAAAAAAAAAAAAAAGGAAAAAAAAGCTCGTGTATTTTACAAAAGTTTTACGGATTCGTGTTGGGCTGCATTCAAAGCCGTCCTGGGCCGTGGGTTGGACAAGTTTACTGTACATCTTTCTTTGTACACACGATGAATGTCACAAAGAGCTCACAAAGCACCTGTACCATGTGTATGTTTCAGTTATGAATATGTTCTGCAATAAACAGAAAACTCATTAAACAAATATGGGTTGTTTTTCCCCCCTCACCTCTGAAGGTAAGGAGTTACTGAGAATGGTTTAGCGGCTTGGTGATGCCCCAGGGATCCAGGCTGTCTTCCCTTCTGCTCTGCCAGCCTTAGTGTGTTGTCTGATGTCCTCATCCTTGGTGCTTCATAGTCACAATATGACTGCTGTTGCTCTGGACATCACTTCTGCATTCAGAGATGGAAAAGAAGAAATAACAGTCCCAGCCACAACCACTTCTTCTTATCAGAAATGTAAAAACATTCCCAGAAGGTTTCTTAGGACTCACAGGCCAGAACCAAATCCATGACCGCTCCTACTGCAAGGAAGTCTAGGAAAGAGAGGAATAGATTTGCCTGATTGGCTTAAACGAATACTTCACATCCTAGCTGCACATTACAATCACCTGGGAGCTCTAAAAAATACCTATCTGGGCTTCACCTCCAGAGGTTTTGATATAATTGGTCTGGGATGGGGCCTATTCACTGCTGTTTTGAAAAGCTCCATGGATGACTCTAAAAACTGACCAGAGTTGAGAACCACTGGGTTCCACCAATCATGATCCTTCATCTAGGGCTGGGCAGGTGTATAAGTGAGGATTATATTCAGTTGCAAGTGACAACATACAACATACCAAGCCTAAACAAGAGAGGAGTTTATTTATTGCTCACATAAAAGTTCAGCAGGCTGAGTGCAGTGGCTCATTTTTGTAATCTCAGAACTTTGGGAGGCTGAGGCAAGAGGAAGCCAGGAGGTCAAGACCAACCTGGGCAACATAATGAACCCTCTACCTCTACAAAAATTAAAAAAAAAAAATTCAGTGATCAATGGTCCAGGGCTGGAAGGGCCTGCATGGTGTCAAGGCACAGACTCATGATCTTGCTGGCCCACCTCCCATGGCCTTCATTCCCAAGGTCATTCAAGATCCAAGATGGTTATTCCAGCTCCAGCATTCCAATGGCAGGAAGAAGGACAGAGAAATAGAAGAGCAGAGGCCCACAGACCTTTACTGGCACTTCCCAGAAGTTGCACACACCATTTCTGCTTACCTCCCATGTGAAACAGAAGTGTGCTGGTCCTTTCCTTCTAGGCTCTAAATTGTTTCACAAGACTTCGTCTACCTCAAGATGATAAGCATATTCTCCAATATTTTGTCTAATGCTCTCCTAGTGTGGTGTATTTATGTGGTTTCAGTGATTAGTTTATCTGAAGTTTAGTTTTACAAAAGATAAATGATAAAGCCCTAACTTTATGATTTTTCCAAGGCTAATTGCCCAGTATCATTCATTATTTTTTCTTCCAGATAAGTAATTCTACCAAAGTATTCTGTCAAATACCAAATTCCCACATATATATTAGGTCAAGCCAAGTGAAACTGCTGATACCTATCACCTTGACCCAGCTTTATTTTCTCAATTATACCAGTTACTACGAGACATCATATTATGCATTTCTGCTTTTTTTTTTCTTTTGAGACAGAGTCTCACTCTGTCGCCCAGGCTGGAGTGCAGTGGCACGATCTCAGCTCACTGCAACCTCTGCCTCCCAGGTTCAAGCAATTCTCCTGCCTCAGCCTCCCAAGTAGCTGGGATTATGGGCATGCACCACCACACCTGGCTAATTTTTGTATTTTTAGTAGAGATGAAGTTTCACCATGTTGGCCAGGCTGGTCTTGAACTCCTGACCTCAAGTGATCCACCCACCTCAGCCTCCCAAAGTGCTAGGATTACAGTCATGAGCCATCACGTCCAGTCTGTATTTATTCTTAAAGTATATTATTGCTTGTGTTTGCAGGGAGCAACCTTGAGGAATGAGGAACTATCTTCCTAAAGAGCAGGCTTGCTTATTCCCTGCTGTGAAAGGGGTGGGTTCCCCAAGCTCAGTGTTCCCCTAGATGCCACACAAACCCACAGCATCCACCAGGGCCCTCCACATTGCCCCCTGGAGGACAAGGGGACAGGGGGACGAGGGAGTCAATATAAACATGCTGCCTAGGCTGCTTGCTGTGCCTTAATAAAGTCCTTTGTCTCTGACTCGGGAGTCTCATCTTTGCCAGCATGCATGAAACAGTAAGAGGCGAATTATTCACACATCAGCAGGGAAAATTCAAATGCCAGGCCCTGACAGTTTTGGCAATGAGGACAGGCTGCTGATAAACATGACTTTCTGGAAGAGGAAGGATAAGGACCTTATGGACCAGATTAGGGGATATGAAAAGACTCCTTGGCATATGTTAGTGGATCCTCTCACCCAAATGGTGGGTGGCAGGGGTAGGGTGGATAGGATAAGGAGCTCACACTGTCCTACCTTAATGAGTTTAAGCAACGAGAGGTAGGGTTGAAACAAGCCACTCAAACGGTGCTTCGTTTCTTGCTCAGGAGGAGGAAGGGATGTTATGACAAGGGGGCAGCAAGCCCCACAGCTGCACTCAAAAGGCAACATGGATGTGGCTGCTGAGTCAAAGAATCCCCAAAGCTGAAATACATGGTATCAGCCATCATGTTTGATACAGAGCTTCACAGTGACCCCAAAACACTACAAGGTATTTGGATAAGCCCCACAGGTGGCCACTGGAAGCCTTGCTCACTGGCACAGGCTCGCTCTCTCCCCTGTGTTCCCCAATCCCTCTATTCCCGCTCTACTCCACCTCCGGCTGCTTTTATTTAATTTATTAATTTATTTATTGAGATAGGGTCTTGCTCTGTCACCCAGGCTGGAGTGCAGTGGCATGATCACGGCTCATTGCAGCCTCGACCTTTTGAGCTCAGGTGATCCTCCCACTTCAGCCTCGCTAATAGCTGGAACCACAGGTGCACACCACCACACCTGGCTTATTTTTTGTAGAGCCGGGGTTTCGCCATGTTGCTCAGGCTGGTCTTGAACTCCTGGGCTCCAGCGATCCACCTGCCTTGGCCTCCCAAAGTGCTGGGATTACAGGCGTGAGCCACCGTGTCTGGCTCAGCTGTTGTAATGAAAAAGTTGAGTATGCTGGGGAACTTCACGGAGGCAAAGTCCTCAAAACTTGTATATCTCTGTTGGGCCCAAGTGCCCAATTCACCATCTTACCTAGTTCCGTGGATGGGTGCAGAGATGGCTGAAGGCACCACCCCAGGACTGCAGTGTGGACTGGGGACAAAATGAAAGGGGCCTCGGGGCTTGGGAACTCTCTGGATGGACACTGGAGCTACACAGAGGAAGCAGCAGCAATGCCAACCCTGAAGCCAGGGGCCAAGGAGAAATAAAAGCCTCCTAGCTGCACCCTGTGAGCTAGCCTGAGCTCCCGGCAGCTGTTGCTTTTGCTCCTGATGTGCACACACTAAACACCTTGGTTTGTTTTCCCAGAAGGTAAAAAATCCCCCAAGTTCAACTGATAGGCTTTGAGCAAAGTTTGCAGTGGAAGAAGGCAAATTAAGTAACGCTCCATGTGGGGCCCTTGGGCCAATTCAGTGGCTTTCACTGCAAATGTATTACTGGTATTGATGCTCATACCGGCCTGTACTGCCAATGCCCATAAGTGTCAGATGGGATTCGCCCTTTCAGAGACTGCCACATGTGGAAAGGTGGTTTCTGAACCCTCTTAGATGGTCCAGGAGAAACAGTTTAGACTTTCAAGAGGGAGGCCAGGTGCAGTGGCTCATGCCTGTAATCCCAGCATTTTGGGAGGCTGAGGCTGGGAGATGACGAGGTCAGGTGTTTGAGACCAGCCTGGCCAACATGGTGAAACCTGGTCTCTACTAAAAATACAAAAAGTAGCCGGCCGTGGTGGCGGGCGCCTGTGATCCCAGCTACTCAGGAGGCTGAGGTAGAAGAATCGCTTCAACCCAGGAGGAAGAGGTTGTAGTGAGCCGAGATCGTGCCACTGCATTCCAGCCTGGGCGACAGAGCAAGACTCCATCTGAAAAAAAAAAAAAAAAAATCAGGAAGGAAAAGGGAAATCTGAAAATTAGTCTCAAAGGTGGCCAGATTACTCAGAGGCTGTTCTCAAGCACAATAGCACCACCTGCCTGACACACTCACCAAGCACATAGCTTTAAAAAAATTGTTTAGAGGCCAGGTGCAGTGGCTCACGCCTGTAATCCCAGCACTTTGGGAGGCCGAGGCAGGTGGTTCACCTGAGGTCAGGAGTTCAAGACCAGCCTGACCAATATGGTGAAACCCTGTCTCTACTAAAAATACAAAAATTAGCCGGGCATGATGGCATGCGCCTGTAGTCTCAGCTACTCCGGAGGCTGAGATAGGAGAATTGCTTGAGCCCAGGAGGCGGAGGTTGTGGTGAGCTGAGATCACGTCACTGCGTTCCAGCCTGGGTGACAGCGAGACTCGGCCTAAAAAAAAAAAAATTGTTTAGAGAGTGGTTGCTGATCTGTCACCCAGGCTAGAGTGCAGTGACACCATCAGAGCCCCCTGCAGTCTTGAATTCCTGGGCTCAAGCCATCCTCTCACCTCACTGTCCTGAGCAGCTGGAACGACAACTGTGAGCTACCATGCCCGGCTAATTTTACAAAATTTTTCATAGACGTGGTCTCTCAGGCTGGTCTTAAACTCCTTGCCCTCAGGTGATCCTTCCATCCCACCACACCTGGCCCCATCCCTCCCCCATCCCCCTTTTTTGTTTGAGACAGTCTCTCTCTGTCGCCCAGGCTGGAATGCAGTGGCACAATCACAGCTCATTGCAGCCTGGAACTCCTGGGCTCAAGCAATCCTCCCCACTCAGCCTCCTGAGTAGCTTGGTGCCTGCCACCACGTACCATGCCAGCTAATTTTAAAAATACATTTTTGTAGAGATGAGATCTTGCTTTGTTCCCAAGGCTGGTCTTGAACTCCTGGCTTCAAGTGATCCTCCCTCCATAATCCCAAAGCCCTGGGACTACAGGCCTGAGCCACCACATCCGGCCCCATCCCCTCTTTTTTATTTTATTTTATTTTATTTTATTTTATTTTATTTTATTTTACTTTATTTTATTAAGACAGAGTCTTGCTCTGTCTCCCCGGCTGCCAGGCTGGAGTGCAGTGGCATGATCTCAGCTCACTGCAACCTCCACCTCCCAGGTTCAAGCTATTCTCCTGCCTCAGCTTCCCGAGTAACTGGGACTACAGGCATGCGCAACCACACCTGGCTTTTTTGTTTGGTGGTTGTTTTTAAGTAGAGACAGAGTTTCACCATGTTGGCCAGGCTGATCTTGAACTCCTGACCTCAAGCGACCTGCCCTCCTCGGCCTCTCAAAGTGCTGGGATTACAGGCATGAAACACCATGCCAGGCCCCCATCCCCTTTTTAAAAAGGTGCCCACTAACTTGTTACTGACCCAAAAAGTTCCTGTGACTCTCCAAACTGACACTCCCATTTTGGGATGGGTCAACTTGGATTTGGTGGCTACTAAGGGAGGGGCACAAAAGGCATTATTAATCCAATGGAAATACTGTATTCAGTAACACAGCTGGCCTGGTCCTAATATTAGCTGGGTTTTACATGAAAAAGTGGCAGCAAAAATCCCTTCAGGGGAAATCTTTTCCTAACTTCACCACTTGAAGCAAAGCTGCTGGCTCAATGGGGCCCTCAAGTCACAGAGGGTTCCCTAGGCACCTGGCCTGGTACAATGATGGTTTGGCTAGGCTGACACCTTATAGTGTCCACGTTCAACCTCAGCACCAGCTATGCAGAACCAAAAACAGGCATGGGCTGGGCGTGGTGGCTCACGCCTGTAATCCCAGCACTTTGGGAGGCCGAGGCGGGTGGATCACTTGAGGTCAGGAGTTCCAGATCAGCCTGGTCAACGTGGTGAAACCCCGTCTCTACTAAAAATACAAAAATTAGCCGGGCGTGGTGGCGTGCATCTGTAATCCCAGCTACTTGGGAGGCTAGGGGAAGAGAATTGCTTGAACTCAGGAGGCGGAGGTTGCAGTGAGCCGAGATCGCGCCATTGCACTCCAGTCTAGGCAACAGAGCGAGACTCCATCTCAAATTTAAAAAAATAATAATAAATAATAATTTTTTAAAAAAAGCAAGCATGACTGCTCCACTCAATGGACAGAGCTCAAGGGAGTGCTGATAGTTCTGGCCAATACTCCCCGTGATGAACCCTTCTACATTTTTACTGCCTTTTGTGTGGTTGCCAATGGCCTAGCTATCTTGCCCACAAGACTGGAAGATTAAAGACATTCCCTATTGCAGCTGCATATTGTGGAAATAATTTCAGCTGCCAATCAGATGCCCAAGTTACTCACAGAGATGCCCATGGTAAGGGCCCTTCTCTAATGAGACAAACTGTAGTCAAGCTGCTGATCCAGACTTCACTGCCCATACCACCACCATCACCACCTAGATCCGTCATCGAACAAGACATAACAACACATTCACCATCGTGGACTGAGCACAAAATCAAAAACTGTTTCAGGCCAGGCGCAGTGACTCACACCTGTAATCCTAGTACTTTGGGAGGCCAAGGCAGGCGGATCACTTGACGTCAGGAGTTTGAGACCAGCCCGGCCAACATGGTGAAACCCCATCTCTACTAAAACTACAAAAAGTAGCCAGGTGTGGTGGCAGGCGCCTGTAATCCCACCTACTTGGGAGGCTGAGGCAGGAGATTCGCTTGAACCTGGGGGGCAGAAGTTGCAGTGAGCCGAGATCGCATCACTGCACAGTGAGACTCTGTCTCAAAAAACAATAACAACAACAACAAAACAACTATGTGTTTCTGATGCAGAAGACACCACTACATACCAGAGCTGTGGTGCCTCCCAAAATTTGAGCCATTTGTCTTGCAGGGAAGGAGGCCGCATTGCACACAGAGTATTGCCCCCAGTTGCTCCTGGATGATTGTCCAGATATCAGATAGCTGACCCCCTCCCCAGGCTGTGTCATTGGTGCCTCACTTCTGTCAGAACGTTTTCAGGTTACAATGTTGCTGTTCTTGTCTGTTCTAGTCTGAATAGAGTCTGGGGCCCCAGTCACACTATTTTGGCCCCTGAAACTAAGTCATGTCAAGTTTTTGGATTCTCAGACCACCTACAGTCTGACAGTGATGCACCTTTTATTGCAAAAGCCGCCCAACAATGGGCCAGTAGTCAAAGTATTCGATGGACATGCTAGGCTCCCTACCATCTGCTAGTATCTGGTATTATTGAGCACTGGAATGGCCTCCTCCAAAGCTTCTGACTACCTCCATCAACTCCTTCTGGGCCACATACTTCAGCGAGGCAGTATGATCACTGAATGCAGCTATCTCCAAAGATCATCTCCTTTCAGCCACTTCCTGGGTACTGATCAGGATGAAAACAGGTGGAGGGTTATATAGATCTATTCTGAAAAGTTGGGAGCATGGTGCTTCTTTTTTCTTTCCTCTCCCACCCCTAACCCAACAGCAACCCCACACCAGCCTGCTTGGTGCACCCTCCAGGTGTCAGCCCGGCAAAAGGGGACTTAGGGGATTCAAACTTATCTCTAATTCTGGTTTAGCCACTTGGATTCTCTTGACAGATTAACCTGATCCCAGATCAGTGTACTCATTGAATACAATTGCTTGCCAAATTGAGTACACTGGTTGAGTACATTCCTTGCCAAGTTCTCTCACACTGGCTCATATAGGCCAAGGTGCGAGATACAATGGATGTCTGTAAATTTTGTAAAAATGTCCTTGTCTCACTCACGCCTCGCTCTAGCAGACAAAAGGTCTGGGTATGAGTAGGGAAAGATCGGAGAAATGATGAAGTTATGGCTACTGGAATGAGATATGCTGCTTTCATAGCCAGGAAGCCTGCGAGAAGACACCTTAGATGCCAGCAGGTGCAAACAGTGGAGAATGATCAATGTGCTCTTTGTCCCCTAGATCCAGCATTGAAACCTAGAAAAACCATCATCTCGTTCATCTGAGTTGAGCAGCAGCTGCAGCTGACAGTCTTACCCTTTCTGGATTTATCATGCTGCCTGCATGCTATGAAAACAGGGGAATTCATAAGGAGGTGGCCAGTCCTGGCTATTCAGTTGTGGCCTTTGCCAGCCATCAATGGCAGCTCCCAAATATGGAACCTCCCCTTACCCCATACATGCACAAACACACCATCCAGCACAACCTTGTTTGTCTGATTGGTACAAACACAGGCACTTTTCCTGTCACCCACGTGGCTTTGGTTCATGTATGGTGTCTGAGGATGCAAGCGTTAGGTGACACCATCCATGTGGCTAAACCAAACCAGTGTAATGATAATCCAAATCAGAATCAACAACAAATTCTGAATTCAAGTAACACGTAACCTGTTGGGTGTATGTTTGTATGTGGGCCATGTGATGTCTCTCCATTAGGGATGAGGGTTGCTTTTGGCCCATCTATCACTTCATATAATTACTGGCGATGACATTGAGGACCAGTAGATTAGTCTAGAACTCACTTATGCAGGTTGTAATGGATAATGACCTGGCCTTAGACTGTATCCTGGCCTACTAAGGCCTACTGATCCCCTTGAGACTTATTCACAGGTGACTGAGTCTGAGACGCCGGGTGGCATTGTTGAAGCCAATACTGTTGGTTGGCCTCATCTTGCTTGAGGTTCTATTGGTAGTAAATTCTGTATGAGACAAATTGAGCAAATTTGGTCCCAGTCTAGGGTGATCAGATTGATTGGAGTGGCAGATGGAGTGGTATACTCATGGGAATATTCCACTTTGGCCAAGAATGTGTAAGGTCAATTATTGGGAGAGGAAAGCTGTCAGAGGCCCTGAACGTCCCAGCACATTTTTACTGAGTATGCCAAGACTACAAGGCCCTGACCCCTCTTTCCTGGGCTGTTTCTCAGGGTCGTGCATTGCAGTAAGCCACCTTGAGGAATGAGGTTAATATCTCTCTCCAGGACAAAGAGCAGACTTGCTTACTGCTGTCTATGAAAGAGGGGGTTCCCCAGGCTCAATGTTCCTCACGTGGGGCACAAACCCAGTGCATGCACAGAATCCATAAGGCTCCTTCCCATTTTCCTTGTGGAACTTAGGGAACAAGGGGAGCTGATACAAACAGGGTGCTTTTGCTACTTGCTATGCTGTGTTAATATGCTTTGCTTTGTCTCTAATCTAGGAATCTCCTGTCTTCTGCCAGCATTCATGAAACAGTAACAAAGTAACTTATCTTGAAAGGAGGGCAAAATACAATCCAAGATATTTATATGTAGCAAAGTGAAAGAGAATAAACAGTAACTGCTAGAGAATGCCTTAGGCAAAAAGGCATCCTTGGATGTTGTCTTAGTTGGCTCAGGTTACCATCACAAAACGCCATAGACTGGGTGGCTTCAACAACAGAAATTTATTTTCTCAGAGTTCTGGAGGCTGGGAAGTCGCAGATCAAGGTACCAGTTGATTTGGGTCCTGGTGAGGGCTGTCTTCCTGGCTTGCACATGGTCACTTTCTCATTGTGTCCTCACATAGTGGAGATTGAGAGTTTTAGTGTCCCTTCCTCTTCACATAAGGGCACTAGACCTATCGGATAGGGATCCACCCTTATGACCTTTATCATTTCAGCCTTTATCACCTCCTCATAGCCTTTTTTTTTTTTTTTTTTTTTTTTTTTTTTTTTTTTGAGACAGTCTCGCTCTGTCACCAGGCTGGAGTGCAGTGGCGTGATCTCGGCTCACTGCAACCTCCGCCTCCCAGGTTCAAGTGATTCTCCTGCCTCAGCCTCCTAAGTAGCTGGGACTACAGGTGCCCGCCACCACGCCCGGCTAATTTTTTGTATTTATAGTAGAGACAGGGTTTCACTGTGTTAGCCAGGATGGTCTCAATCTCCTGGCCTCATGATCTGCCCGCCTCAGCCTCCCAAAGTGTTGGGATTATAGGTGTAAGCCACCACGCCCGGCCTCCTCATAGCCTTTATCTCCAAATACAGTTAATTAGGGGGTTAGGATTTCAACATATGCATTTAAGGGAGACAAACATTCATTCCATAACAGGTGTCATTCAGGTTTCAGTTAAGGCTGGTGGTGAGAGAAAGTTTTAAAAGAAATGTTGAAAATATGAGGAAGTTGGTTAATTTTGCAGAGGGGATTCTTTTTTTTTTTTTTTTTTGACCTCAACCTCCCGAGTAGCTGGGACTGCAGGCATGTATCACCAGGCCTGGCTAATTTGTTGGAGCAACAGAGTTTCACCATTTGGCCAGGCTGGTCTAAAACTCCTGAGCTCAAGCGATTTGCCTGCCTTGGCCTCCAGAAGTGCTTGCATCTGTAAGCCACTGCCTTACAGATGGGATTCTGAAGGGCATGGCAGATGTTGGAGGTGAAGTGGTAGAGGATAGGTCAGGGCCAAGGAGAAATAGAGCATTATGGGACTGAGTATGTGGCCAGTGGGATCCACAGTTTCAGAGTTGAGAGACAAAAGCAGGCATGAGAAGCATAAAAAAGTTTTAATAAGTTAGAACTGGCTGGGCGCGGTGGCTCACGCCTGTAATCCCAGCACTTTGGGAGGCCGAGGCGGGTGGATCACGAGGTCAGGAGATCGAGACCATCCTGGCTAACATGGTGAAACCCCGTCCCTCCTAAAAATACAAAAATTAGCCAGACATTGTGGCGGGCGCCTGTAGTCCCACTTACTCAGGAGGCTGAGAGAGGAGACTGCCGTGAACCTGGGAGGCGGAGCTTGCAGTGAGCTGAGTTCGCGCCACTGCACTCCAGCCTGGGCGACAGAGCGAGACTCCATCTCAACAACAACAACAACAAAAAAAGTTAAAACTATTGAAAGTTTGTGCTAGGAATACTACCTAGGAATGAAAACAAATGAATTACACTCTTATACACAACAACGTGGATAAATCTCACAGGTAATGATGAGTGAAAGCCAGATATTTAAAAACTACATAATGCATGATGTCATTTACATGAACTTCAAGAATGAGAAAAACTAGTTTATGGTGCAAGGAATCAGGAGGGGGTTACCTCTTGAGCGGCAAGTGTTCACTGGGAGTAGGCACCAGAGAGGATTTGGGGATGTTGAAAATGCCCTGTATCTTAATCTGAATGGTTGGTTATATGGGTGTATATGTGTGTAAAAATTTACCAACATGCGCATGTAATATCTGGGTACTTTGCTGTCAATTATGTCATAATTTTAAAAAGGCAAATAATTTTTTAATTAAAAACAAAGATGGATATTGGGCCAAAGTGATCATCCACATACATCTTGCCCACATAAAATGATCTTACCAGCAAAAAGAACAGCTGGGCTGGCTGCAATGGCTCATGCCTATAATCTCAGCACTTTGGGAGGCCAGCGCAGGGGGATTATTTGAGCCCACGAGCTTGAAACCAACTTGGGCAACTTGGCAAGACCCTGTCACTACAAAAAAAACTGTTTTGTTTTTTTTTCGAGATGGAGTTTTGCTCTTGTTGCCTAGGCTGGAGCAGAATTATGCGATCTTGGTTCACTGCAACCTCCGCCTCCCAGGTTCAAGTGATTCTCCTGCCTCGGCCTCCCAAGTAGCTGGGATTACAGGTGCCCACCACCACCCCAGGTAATTTTTTTGTATTTTTAAAGACAGGGTTTCACCATGTTGGCCAGGCTGGTCTTGAACTCCTCACCTCAGAGGATCCACCTGCTTCGGCTTCCCAAAGTGCTGGGATTACAGGCATGAGCCACCGCTCCTGGCCTATAAAAATTTTTTTAGAAAATCAGCCAGGTGTGATGGTACACCCCTGTAGTCCAAGCTACTCAGGAGGCTGAGGCAGGAGGATCGCTTGAGCCCAGAGGTCCAGGCTGCAGTGAGCCAAAATCGAGCCACTGCACTCCAGTCTGGGCAAACAGAGTGAGACTCTGCATTTGAAAAAAAAAAAAGGAAGAAAGAAGGGAGAAGAAGGGAGAAGGAGAAGGAGAAGAAGAAGAAAGAAGAAGAGAGGGGAAGAAGGGGACGAAGGGGAAGAAGCGGATGAAGGGGAAGAAGGGGAAGAAGGAGAAGAAGGGGAAGAAGAAGGGGAAGAAAAGAAGAAGAAGAAGAGGAAGAGGAAGAAGAAGAAGAGGAAGAAGAAGAGGAAGAAGAAGAGGAAGAAGAAGAGGAAGAAGAGGAAGAAGAAGAGGAAGAAGAGGAAGAAGAAGAAGAAGAAGAAGAAGAAGAAGAAGAAGAAGAAGAAGAAGAAGAAGAAGAAGAGGAAGAGGAAGAAGACAGAATTTCCCATATACAGCTTGGCACAGAATATGGGAGTCCGTCATCCAACATTTTGTTCAAATAAAGTAAGACCCTAGTCCTTGAGACCCACACAGGAGTGTGCTGGAATCGGATTGCTCAGGCTCTGAAGAGGCTATGGTGTGTCTCTCCTAACATGTTCAGTGATATCACATTAGTAGTTTGAAATCAGCCATGGTAGGAATGTGTAGTCACCACAAATTCAGCAAATGCTACAAAGCAAGTTTATTTTTTAAGAGGAGGCTGTTACCAGTATCACGCTGTTTTGGTTACTGTAGCCTTGTAGTATAGTTTGAAGTCAGGTAGCGTGATGCCTCCAGCTTTGTTCTTTTGGCTTAAGATTGACTTGGCAATGCAGGCTCTTTTTTGGTTCCATATGAACTTTAAAGTAGTTTTTTCCAATTCTGTGAAGAAAGTCATTGGTAGCTTGATGGGGATGGCATTGAATCTATAAATTACCTTGGGCAGTATGGCCATTTTCACGATATTGATTCTTCCTATCCATGAGCATGGAATGTTCTTCCATTTGTTTGTATCCTCTTTTATTTCGTTGAGCAGTGGTTTGTAGTTCTCCTTGAAGAGGTCATTCACATCTCTTGTAAGTTGGATTCCTAGGTATTTTATTCTCTTTGAAGCAGTAGTGAATGGGAGTTCACTCATGATTTGGCTCTGTTTGTCTCTTATTGGTGCATAAGAATGCTTGTGATTTTTGCACATTGATTTTGTATCCTGAGACTTTGCTGAAGTTGCTTATCAGCTTAAGGAGATTTTGGGCTGAGACGATGGGGTTTTCTAGATATACAATCATGTCATCTGCAAACAGGGACAATTTGACTTCCTCTTTTCCTAATTGAATACCGTTTATTTCCTTCTCCTGCCTGATTGCCCTGGCCAGAACTTCCAATACTATGTTGAATAGGAGTGGTGAGAGAGGGCATCCCTGTCTTGTGCCAGTTTTCAGAGGGAATGCTTCCAGTTTTTGTCCATTCAGTATGATATTGGCTGTGGGTTTGTCATAAATAGCTCATTATTTTGAGATACGTCCCATCAATACCTAATTTATTGAGAGTTTTTAGCATGAAGAGTTGTTGAATTTTGTCAAAAGCCTTTTCTGCATCTATTCAGATAATCATGTGGTTTTGTCGTTGGTTCTGTTTATATGCTGGATTATGTTTATTGATTTGGTACCAAAACAGAGATATAGACCAATGGAACAGAACAGAGCCCTCAGAAATAATGCCACACATCTACAACTATCTGATCTTTGACAAACCTGACAAAAACAAGAAATGGGGAAAGGATTCCCTATTTAATAAATGGTGCTAGGAAAACTGGCTAGCCATAGGTAGAAAGCTGAAACTGGACCCCTTCCTTATACCTTATACAAAAATTAATTTAAGATGGATTAAAGACTTAAATGTTAGACCTAAAACCATAAAAACCCTAGAAGAAAACCTAGGCAATACCATTCAGGACATAGGCATGGGCAAGGACTTCATGTCTAAAACATCAAAAGCAATGGCAACAAAAGCCAAAATTGACAACTGGGATCTAATTAAACTAAAGAGCTTCTGCACAGCAAAAGAAACTACCATCAGAGTGAACAGGCAACCTACAGAATGGGAGAAGATTTTTGCAATCTACTCATCTGACAAAGGGCTAATATCCAGAATCTACAAAGAACTCCAACAAATTTACAAGAAAAAAACAAACAACCCCATCAAAAAGTGGGCAAAGGATATGAACAGACACTTCTCAAAAGAAGACATTTATGCAGCCAACAGACACATGAAAAAATGCCCATCATCACTGGTCATTAGAGAAATGCAAATCAAAACCACAATGAGATACTATCTCACACCAGTTAGAATGGCAATCATTAAAAAGTCAGGAAACAACAGATGCTGGAGAGGATGTGGAGAAATAGGAACACTTTTACACTGTTGGTGGGACTGTCAACTAGTTCGACCATTGTGGAAGTCAGTGTGGCAATTCCTCAGGGATCTAGAACTAGAAATACCATTTGACCCAGCAATTCTATTACTGGGTATATACCCAAAGGAATATAAATCATGCTGCTATAAAGACATATGCATGGGTATGTTTATTGCGGCACTATTCACAACAGCAAAGACTTGGAACCAACCCAAATGTCCAACAATGACAGACTGGATTAAGAAAATGTGGCATATATACACTATGGAATACTATGCAGCCATAAAAAAATGATGAGTTCATGTCCTTTGTAGGGACATGGATGAAGCTGGAAACCATCATTCTCAGCAAACTATCGCAAGGACAAAAAACCAAACACCACATGTTCTCACTCATAGGTGGAAATTGAACAATGAGAACACATGGACACAGGAAGGGGAACATCACACCCCGGGGCCTGTTGTGGGGTGGGGGGAGGGATAGCATTAGGAGATATACCTAATGTAAATGACAAGTTCATGGGTGCAGCACACCAACATGGCACATGTATACATATGTAACAAACCTGCACGTTGTGCACATGTACCCTAGAACTTAAAGTATAATAAAAAAAAAAAAAAGAGGAAGCTGTTAACCACTTACGGTTGCATCACTTGGCCACCAGCACCTCAGGCTTATCCATGAAGTAACTACAGCTGAGAATAAGTCAGTAACTTGCCTACTGAGTTCAGGTCTCCAGACCCCAAGTCCGGTGTTCTTTCCACCACATGGCACATTCCAAGGACCTCGCTCCCCCAGGCCAAGCAGCCATTGAAGGTTAAGGAAAGAGAGAGCTTAAGACCTCTCTCCCCAACACCAGGAATAGGCCTGGGTGACACAGCAGAGTAGGGATAGGTGACAAGGGATAGGTGTGGGGGGCTCTTTTTATTTTTATTTTTTAAGACAGAGTCTCGCTCTGTCACCCAGGCTATAGTGCAGTGGCGCAATATGGGCTCACTGCAACTTTCACTTCCCAGGTTCAAGCAATTCTCCTGCCTCAGCCTCCTGAGTAGCTGGAACTACAGGTGCGTGCCACCACACCCAGCTAATTTTTTGTATTTTTAGTAGAAACAGGGTTTCACCATGTTGGCCAGGCTGACCTCAGGTGATCCACCTGCCTTGGCCTCTCAAAGTGGTGGGATTACAGGCATGAGCTACCGCGCCCGGCTGGGAGCTCATCTCTTTGGGGCACCCTGTGGGACCCCACATAGGCAATCCATCATGAGTTTCTGACCTCTACCTCCCAGACAAGTATTCATCCACAAATATTTATCCTTCAAGGACTATTCACAGCACTATGGATACAGAAAAGAAGAAAAGAATCAAACATCTTCATCTGTAAGAGCTACAGGCCAGTAAATGATAGCACTTTTCTATTAAGAAACGCATCCCTCCCCACTGAACTTGTTTTAGTTTAGGTCTTCATTATCTCTTACCTGAACTGTTCCTACCCAACTCCAGGTCCCACCAGAAGATCTAGATTTTGGGAGACCTGAAGCTTATACAATTGGAGGAGTAACTCCTTAAGAAGAATACAAAATTATGAATACACAATTATATGTAACCATGTGAACCTGTCACGAGGAATATTCGAGGGTCCTTGGAAGGGGCCGGTGTAGATGAAAGCCTGAAGATTAAGCCTCATGGAGAATCAGCCTCTGCCAAGTCCTCTCCCCACTTCACCCGGGACAAGGGGAAAAATAGCTCCCTCCTGCCTACCCTATATTCCCCTCACCCCCTACCCCTACCGCACCCTGCTCTACCTCAAGGATAATAGTTTCCTTTCTTCTAGACCCCCACTCCCCCACCCTCCTCCTACCTCCCCAGCAATTTGGGTTTTTGTTTTTGTTTTTTGAGACAGTCTCATTCTGTTGCGCAGGCTGGAGTGCAGTGGCACGATTGGCTCACTGTAACAGCCTCTTCCTCCTGGGTTCAAGCACTTCTCATGCTTTTTTTTTTTTTAAATATTATGCTCTTGCTTTTTTGCTTTTAATGTAATAGTTTAAGTATAAATATTTGTCCCTAGTATCTATTTGGAAAATGAAATAAGCTGCTTAATGTCTCCAACAAAGACAGTTATATATCTTTCCCACTTCCACAGGAAAACCCAAGGTGCTGAACGCCCAGAATAGCAACCTTACACAGGTATAGTGTTCAAAAGTTTGTAAAATTGTTTTCCTCGTGTTTAATTTTATTTCACCTTCACAACTGTGTGCTATCATTCTCATTTGATGGGAAACTGAGGCTCAGTATAAGTTTACAAATCCAGTGAGTGGCAGAGATGGGATTCTGACTTAAGTTCAGCATTTTAGGAAACTCAAGGCAGGCGCGGTGGCTCATGCCTGTAATCCCAGCACTTTGGGAGGCCAGGGTGGGTGGATCGCCTGAGGTCAGAAGGTGGGGACCAGCCTGGCCAACATGGCGAAACCCCGTCTCTACTAAAAATACAAAAATTAGCCAGGCGTGGTGGCCCACTCCTATAATCCCAGCTACTCGGGAGGCTGAGGAAGGAGAATCACTTGAACCCGGGAGGTGGAGGTTGCAGTGACCCTAGCTCGTGCCACTGCACTCCAGCCTGCGCGACGGGAGCGAGACTCCATCTCAAAAAAAAAAAAAAAAAAGAGACTCAAACGTGATCTAGAATAAACGCACCTACTGCCAACCGGATGTTGGGTCAAGTGAGAATGAAGACAATGTAGCCATAGTACTGAAGTTCAATTTACGCCAGTGGCGAGACATTGATTTAAACCAAGTAACTTGAACTCAGGTTTGCTCCCCATGTACTTGGAATTTAACTGCGCTGAGCTTTTACTTATTTATTTCAAGTACTCTATAGTAGTTCTGAGCCCCTGCCTCCTGTGTTGCTGGGACTAGAGGCACATGCCACTGCACCCGGATAATTTTTGTTTTCTTTGTATTGTTTTTGTTTCATTTTGTTTGTTTTTTTCAGTAGAAGCGGGTTTTTGCCATGTTGGCTGGGCTGGTCTCGATCTCCTGGCCTCAAATGATCCACCCTCCTTGGCCTCCCAAAGTGCTGGGATTACAGGCGTGAGCCACCGCGCCTGGCCCTCCCCAACAATTTGAAAATGAATTTGATCTTGCCCCACCGGTAAATATATATATATATGTGTGTGTGTGTGTGTGTATATAATATTTCAAAATTGTTGCCATTGCCTATGAGTAGCTAAGGGGCAGCCGTCAGGGATAGTGTTGGGTGCTGCTGCAGTTTTAGGTTTGAGACTGCAGGGAACAGCCGTGCTCTGCAAAATAGCAGGGAGTGGGCATAGCTTGCTGCACTGGGAAAACGGTCCCCTTCCTCTTCCTCAATGGGCATTGAGACCGGGTGTCTTTGAAGTGGTTTGTGATTGGCAGGTGTGTGAACAACCAGGACCAATGATCCCAGAGCCTGGGGATAGGAGCTCGACTCTCCTGCCAAAGGGTCCACCACGATAGCTCCTATTGTTTTATTATTCAAGATTGAATAACTGGGCCTAGATGTGGGATGGAATGGATCCTAAGGCAAGACTAATACTTGTGGTGTGGGGTTTTCTTGAAGCAATTGAAGAGGCCTCAGGAATCAACAGCGAGGAAGGCCCAGAGCTGGCGCATACCTACCAGACCACCTTCTTGGATGGCCCTTGTCATTCTGGATTTCTTCATGGAACTATGAGAATTGCCATAATTAATGCGCGCTTTAGTTTTTGTATTCCTCCTTTCATTTTAATTACCATCGGGGATCTGACAGGAAGTGGATCCAAGTGCCGGCATCACACTCTGGGGCCTCCGGGGGGCGCTATGGCCCAACACACAGCGTGGCCAAGCGCGCCTCAGCCTAACTCACCACTTCCTATCTGTTTTATACGGTTTGCACCCGCTTAAGGCGGCGGAGGCGTGGGGGAGTTCTGCTGATGTAAAAAAAAAAAACATTGTTTTATGACTAGACCTACAGAAAAAATGTCCAAACTCCTTAGCATGGCATGTTAGGCACCAGCATGACCCTCCCGGTGCTGGGTGCTAAAACCTCCACCTTGAAGGAAGTGCAGCAAACCCATTCATTCCGCTCTGCTAGTCCTTACACAAGCTGCTCCCGGGCCCCTCCTCACCTTCAGGCTCAGGCCCTTTTTCTGTGCTTGTCCCAGGACTTGCTCCGCTTCTGTAACAGCCCAGGTCACTCCAGAGTGACATTGAGCATTCATGAGTCTCCTGCCACCTGACTGTGAGCTCATAAGGGCGCCACCTGGGTTTCATTATCTGCTCACTCTCTAGCACTGGCCACTCACAAAAAAGCCCTTCTCGTGGACATGAGCACAATGAAAGGGTAGAATGAGACCCAAGGCTCTGGCCTAAGGGTTTGTGGTGAGCCCCTGCCAGAAAAGAGTGGCATTCTCTGCAGGCGTGCACCACGCTTCCTCTGTCATCACCACCCCTGTAGCTCTCTGTGGCCACAGTTGGAGCACTTCGCCCCACCCCACCCACCAAATTCCTTTCTCATGGAGAAGATGCAGCAGTTGGAACGGGACAATATACAAAGGAACTAAGATAAATAATGCATGGCCGGCACAGTGGCTCACACCTATAATCCCAGCACTTTGGGAGGCCAAGGCATGAGGATCACTTGAGGCCAAGAGTTCGAGACCAGCCTGGGCAACATAGCAAGACCTCTGTCTCAAAAAAAAAAAATATATATTAGCCAGGCATGGTGGTGCACACCTGCAATCCCAGCTACTTGAGAGGCTAAGGAGGGAGGACTTGAGCCCAGGAGTTTGAGGATGCAGTGAGCTATTATCGCGCGACTGCACTCCAGCCTGGGTGACAGGGTGAGACCCTGACTCTAAAAAAATAAATAAATAAAAGGTTAAAAAATAAGATAACTAATGCAAAATAAAAGCGCACAGAGGGTTCCAAGAAACAACAGACTTTCACCTGGATCTAAAGCAGAGACACTCACCTCTGACCCCCAAGTGCTGCCCCAGAACTGCTCATTGACCTTCCTCCCTTCATCACCCCTTGGTTCAGCAGCTCTAACCCAGGAGCCCTTCTCTGGGGCTGCAGGCTCTGGGAAGCCTCAAACACCATCCTGGCTGGTTTTCTGTTCCATGTGGTTAGGATAGAACAGAAACCCACGCAAGTTGGGAGTCTGCCCCAGCTATGACTGAGCCTTAACTCAGTGCCACTTTCCTGGGCTGACTGATTCCACCTTCTGCGCAGGTTAATTCTGAGCATCTATCCCCCAATCTATCTTGGGGACAACCTTCCAGAATGAAAAGCACTCCAACCAAATCACTTCAACCATCACAAAAAGGAATGCTGCAAAGTGAGGGCATTCCGGCAGGAAGGGCCAGCCAGCATGAAGGCTGGAGCTGGGAGACAGGGAGCTGGGTTTGGGAAACGGTGTGATCTCCCATGCTGGATAAGCAAGAAACTCACACAGCAAGGGAGTGGAGGTAAGGCTGGCCGGCAAGAGAAATTGGATAGGGCATCAAAGGGCCTAGAATGTTCCCAAACTAAGGGCCTAAATGTTTATTTGAGAAGCCACAAAAGACATTTAAGTTTCTAAGCAGGCGATGGCCCAATCCAAGCAACACTTTTTAAAACTGTGGCAGGAGGATGGGGGTGTTTGGGGGTGAGCAGCTGGGGACGGGAGCTAAGGGAGGAGGCTGTGGGCAGAACTGGGAATTCCATATCTGCTCCAAGCCAGGGTGGAGTCCAGTGGAGGAAAAGTACGTTTTGCTGTTAGATATTCTCTGTGGGCACTGGGGTAGGGAGGAAAGGGAAGGGGGACCCGTTAAGACCAAACAAACAGGTAGCTGCAGGACAGGGAGAGAAAAGTATTGGAGATGATTCCCAAACTCCAAGCCTGGTGGGCAGCAGGAGGAGGTGCCCAGCACAGACACAGGGGAGTCAGGAAGAAGAGCTGGCTGGTGGAGAGTGAACCTGTGGAGACCAAGAAGCCCCATCCCAGCCTAGGGACAGAGCCTCTTGGGATAGGGACCCTCCCCGGAGGCAGGTGCTCCTCTCCTCTCTGAGGGCCAAGCCCAGCCCTGTCCTCACCCACTGATGTTCAGGACTGACAGAAGTGAGAGTCCCATATGGGGAGACCATTTCCTCAAAGATGTTCTCTGAGACTGTGGAGGAACGTGAATTCTGTGAGGGGAGAACAGAAGAAGAGCGCCAGGCACAGCAGCTTGAGGTGCTCAGAGGGCAGAGGAGAAAGACAGTGTGCTCTGGTCATCAGGGCAGTTTCCCAGGTGTGTGTAAATATATATACACCAGATATATATATTTCCCAGGTGTGTGTAAATACATACACATGCATATATATATGTGTATATATATATATATATATATATCTGGTCACCAGGGTGGTTTCCCGTGTGTGTGGGGTTGGGGGGTGGGGTAGCCCACTGCTGCCAGGAGGTCCCAGGCCCTGAAGCCCAAGAGAGACCACGGAGTCTGAGAGCAGAAGCAGGAAGGCAGGGCTGGAAGGGAGCCAGCACACAAGGGCCCCAGGAGTGGCTTGCTGGGGGCCAGTCAGGCATCCTTGGCAGAGCGTTCCTGTGAACGGTCTCAGACACAGGAGGGGCAGAAATTGAAGAAGGAGGCGAGGAGGAGGGGACAGTTCTTTTAAGAATGGGGAGATCTGAGCAGAGAAAAGAACATATTGAGACACAAACAGGAGATCGGTGGGGTAATCTCAGGAAAGGCAGAAGACAGGACTAAGCAAAAAGGTTCCACATCCATCTCCACAGTGGAAGACCGAGAGAAGAGAACGGGTGAAAAGACAGAAACGAGGAGGAGCATACGCCGCTGATGGTGCCAGCAGGGTTCTGCCAAGATTCCCTGAGTCCTCTCCACTGGGTAAGAGGAAGGGTGTCTGCTGGAAATGAGAGAGCCAGAGGTGGGTCTGAATGTTGGGGAGAGGAGTGGAGCAAGTGTGGAACAGCTCTGGGGGGGCTTCTCACATGTAATGTGTGTACAGGTCTTGGTAAATTGCAGGTTCCGATTCAGCAGGTCCCGGCAGGGCCTAAGAGTCTGGATTCCTCACCAGCTCCCAGGTGATGTCAATGCTGCTGGTCCGGGGACCACACTGTGAGAAGCAAGATTTAGAGAGGCAGATCAGGAGATGGAGAAAGAGACTGGCTTAAGAATTGTCTTAAGGAGAAACCCATGTTTGATAATCCCACCTAGGGTAAAAGCTGAGACCTGAAGGAGTCCTGGTGGGAATGGCAGCCCCCTGTGGGTGATGGGGAGAGGCATAGAGAGAAGGGGTGGTAAAGAGACCAGGAAAGGAGGTGAGAGGGCCTCTGTGATGGCAGGAGAACCAGCAGTGCCCCCAGGACGCCTCATCTGGGCCAATGTGTGACAGAACGCTAACTCACACTTGGAGGCCCCCCAGAAGAGGATGGGAGTGAGTTGGAGCAGGAAGGTGTTATTGCAGGGGTGTCTGAGCGTGAACATGGCAGGCAGGGCAGGTGGCCCCCATGCTGTTCTGCAGGAAAGTGCTGGACTCAGTCTGGGCTTGCTCGAAGCCTGGCCAGGACAACGTGGGGAGAGGGGCAGAAATGTCTCTGCCCCACGGTCAAGGGCCAGACGACTTCTGTGCCAGGAACTAATAAAAAAAAAGGAATGGGATCTGAGACGGGACGCGGCTGGGGAGAAACAGGAGGTGAGCTGGGCTCTGAGCCTACCTGTCCAACTCGCAATCAGAAATCAGGAGGTTCCTGAAAGGCACAGATGGAAACTGAAAATGCTTTAGGCTTAGGTAACCCAGCATCAGGAATCGGGATGGTTGGATGCAGGGACCTCGCCCAGCTTGTCTGGGGCCGCAGCCTACGGCAGGGACGTTTCAGTCCTTAGCTGGGGTGAAAGTGAGGTCAGGGTCGCCGGGGAAATGCGGGAGTACAGTCACGCGGGAGAAAGACGTCAAGAGCGAAAGCTCGGAGGCGTCAAAATGAGCAGCAAGTCCAGGCACAAGGCGTCGGGCGCGGAGAGTACGGCGGGTGCCGGGGGAGGGAGATGAGGCCGCGAAGACGCCGGGGCTTCGTCCGGCGGCGACGGGGAGGCCGCGGAGGTTCCCGAGCGCAGCGGGGCGCGCACCTCCCGCTCGGGCCGGGCTCCCTCGCCGCGCGGCCCCGGATCCTCCCTGCGCGGGTTTCCGTGGCCCCCGCCGGGCTCTTCCGTTCCCTCCCGCGGCCTCGACCAGGCCGCAGCCCCCAGCCCAGGCGACCGACTCGCCAGGGTCCGCCCCGCCGCCGCGGCCCGGGCCCGGCCGCTCCTCCCCCGATGATGTCACGTCCCCGGCCGCCCCTCGGCCGGCCGCGCCGCCCCGCCCCCGCCTCCCCCGGGCCCCCGTCCCCTGGGCCCGCCCGCTCCCGACATCCCTCCTCCCGCCTGCGCTCCCTCCCTTCGGCTACCGCTCCCCCGGGAGCGGCGGCGGCGGCGGCGGCGGCGGCGGGATGGCCCGGGCCCGAGGCCAGGCCCCGGGGAGCGGCGGGCGGCGGCGGCCGCGGCGGGGCGGCGCGGGAACCGGGCCCCGGGGGGAGTCGGCCGGGCTGCTGCTGCTGCTGCTCCAGGTGCTGCCGCCCGGGGCTACGGCAGGGCCGGGACGCCGGGGCACGCGGGGCGCTGGCGCTGGCGGCGGCGGCGTCTGCTGGCCCGGCGCGGCCCCAGCCTTTCCCCGGGACGCGCGGCTGCTGCTGCTCCTGCCGCCGCTGCCGCCACTGTCGCCGCCGCCGCCGAGCTCCGCGCCCGCAGCCTCCGCCTCCCGGATGGTAATCAGCGCCCCGCGCTGGCGCCGCGGGCGGGCGGGCGGGCGGGAGGTGGGGGCGGCGAGGGGGAAAGGGCGGGCGGCCCCGCGCCCCCGCCTTGCCCGAGGCAGCTCCCGGGGCGCTCGGGCCCCCCCTCCGACGACCGCGGCCCCGGGCAGCCGCCAGAGCGCGCCTCTGGGGCGCCTCCGCGCGGACCGGGTGCGGGCTCCGCTCCCCGCCCTCCCCGCCCCGCTCGCAGTCCGCCCGCCAGCGCTCAGGCCGCGGGGGAATCCCTCCATCTCCCCGCCCAGCGCCCCAGGAGGGGAGGGGACAGCGCCGGCGCCCGCGGACCCGCTTTCTCCGAGGGAGCGCCCAAGAGGCGAGCGCGCACTGAGCCACCCGGACTCGGCGCTGCGCTGCTGGAGGCGCCTGGTGCCGTCGGGTCGGGCTGAGCTAGACGCCCGCAGCCTCAGCGGGACCGGATCCGGGGCGGCGGGGGCGCTCACTCACCGCGCGCCCTCATGTTCCCTGCGCAGGACGCTCTGCCCCGCAGCGGGCTGAACCTGAAGGAGGAGCCGCTGCTGCCCGCCGGCCTGGGCTCAGTGCGCTCCTGGATGCAGGGCGCGGGCATCCTGGACGCCAGCACCGCGGCGCAGAGGTAAGCGCTCGGACCGGACCCGGTGCGCTCGGGTTGGACGGCTGCGCGCCGCCTCAGCTCAGCTTGCTGGAGCTGCTGGAGCCAGGGGCGGAAGGAGCCCTAACTCTGGACGGTCCCGGCGAGCTCCCCGGCCCACCCCGTCCGGAGTGCCTGTGCTGCCTCCTGAGGCTGTGGGGCGGGCTGGGGCGGGGCTTCTGCCTCCACTCCGGGCTGCCCCGGTAGATTTCTGACGGCCGCTCGCGGGTGCGGCGGTGAACGCCACCCCAGCCGGGCTGTCTATGGCTCTGAGAGAAGAGGCAGAGCTCCCAGCCATGACCCACAGCCACCGGCCGTCTAGGAACGTCCAGCCCCTCCTTCCTGGGCAGTCCCAGTGACTCTCCTTGTCCAATTCCGCAGCTCTCTGTCAGGAAAGGCACGAAACCCAGCCCCCTTTTTCCTTTCCCACGCCCCTCAGAGTTGGCGGATGGGGGTGTGCAGAGCCAGAGAAGCGGCTGGGGGCTGGACGGTGGCGAAGAGATGAGGTGGGCAGTCGGCCTGGCTGGACTGATTGGCCTGGGAACTGGGCAGGGCCCCTGCCTTTCCCTCGGGTGTTTTTCTGGTAGGTCCTTTGGAAGGCAGAGAGTCCCTGGGAACCCAGCACCCGCGCCGGTCTCCTCTGACTCCTTTGCAGGGGTCTGGGAGTCTCAGTAGGGGGTTGACTCCAGGATTTGAAAGCGAACTTTAAAAGTTTATTGACCTGCCCCCAAAGCCCCTGCACCCCCTGGCTTTTTGCACCTTCAGCTGTGACCATGGAGGGAGGCATTTAGGTATCCTATGGGGAGTCACAGTGGTTAGGATTAGGGAGGTGCCAGCTCTGCTGACAGCTGGGACAGGGTGGGCACTTGGCTTCCCAGAAGTCTGAGCTGTTGCAGCAGCCCGAAGGGATTCTGAATGGGGGGCTTAATGCAGACCGGGCCTGACACAGGAGCCCACATTCACACTCCGCAGGACGCCTCAACCTCACCGTGTAACAGACACACACCGCGCTTCATGTGCAAACTGAAGCCGTTTCTGCACGCCGGTCCTTTCCTGGCTGTCGGGAGGGAACGCTGGGGGGCTCTGGAGCTGATCTCTTACGGAAGAGAAAGGGTCTTGTGGATGAATTAATTTCCAAAACTTTTACAAGGGATATAGCTATATTCTAGAAAAATTGGAAAATAAAAAATTTAGTCCCTCCTCTGTAATACAACTACTGTCAACATTTTAGTGTATTTCCTTCCTATTTTTCTTCCCATTAACTTGTGTTTTCCTGTGCTATGCTTACAATTCCACCTCCTGCCTATTCTTCTGTTGGTTCTGGCTTTTTTTTTTTTCAACTTGAGAAGGTTAGTTTCTTAACATGGCCCCCTCTTTGGCCCCACCACCTGCTGTGTGGCGAGAGCTCTTTGTAAGAGTGGGTGAGGAGTGCTGATGGGGGCCTCTGGGAGTTAAGGTTCCATTTCTCTGCAACCTTTCCCTCTGTGCCTACCCAGAGGCAGGTCTGATGAAGGGGAAGCAGACGTGAAGGAGGCAGTGCCCTTGGAGACTGCGTGGGGTTCAAGAAGTGTGGGGATAAGGCTTCCCCCAGAGCATGGGCCACAGCAGTGGTGTCTGCGCATAGTGGGGTTGAGTGGGCTTGGGGTGTCCAGTCTGACTCCCCACATTGTGAGGGCCACATTGCTGGGATGCAGAGGGCTTCCGCAATGTGAACAGGGGCTTTCTTCAGGCTCGGTCTGCTAATCCCCAAGTGTGGAGACTTCTCTGTCTCAGGACATAGACTAGGAGCCCCCACTCGCTTTGTTGTTCAGCTGACTTTCCTCCCTGTCCCAGAGGGAGCTGCCTCATCCTTCCTCCCCACTCTTCCCCGTGTTGTCTGTCATCACTACAGTTGTATCTGGTTCCTCAGTCAGTCCTCTGCACGGGTCTTCTCATCCCAAAACAGCAACAATGAAAATTCCTCCCCCTGGCCCTGCCTCCGCCTTCATCACGGCCTGGTTTCTCTCCCTCTCATCTCTGAGAAACTTTCACGGAAGTGCTCTCCCAAAAGACTCCCTGGGATCCGAGAGTTGGCTTTGACACCTTCCTCAGCCTCACCCCACAGTTGCCTGATTGTCAAGGCTTAGGAATGTTCTTTTCCGTGTCCTAGTCCCAATCTCAGTGCCCTCAGCCACCACTTTTAGCAATGAAACCCCCTGGCCCTCCACCCGCTTCCTCCCTGGCTTGAAGGTTAACTGCACCCTGGTTACCACCTCAGCCTCCTGGCCCAGTGCCTAGCCCCAGCCATTCACCACTCCCCTAAAACCATCTTCCCTGCATTGGGGACCAAAGCAGTATTTCCAAAGTACTTTTTTAAGATCATGTCTCTCTCCGATTACAAATAAAGTGACCAGGCTGGGCGCGGTGGCTCACGCCTGTAATTCCAGCACTTTGGGAGGCCAAGGTGGGCGTTTCACTTGAGGCCAGGAGTTCGAGACCAGCCTAGCCAACATGGTGAAACCCTGTCTCTACTAATAATACAAAAATTAGCTGGGCGTGGTGAAGCATGCTTGTAGTGCCAGCTACTTGGGAGGCTGAGGTGGGAGGATTGCTTGAGCCCGGGAGGCAGAGGCTTCGGTGAGCCAAGATCGCACCACTGTACTCCAGCCTGGGCGGCAGAGTGAAACTGTGCCTCAAAAATAAATAAGTAAATAAATAAAATAAAATAAAATAAAGTGACCAACCCCCAAGCCCCACTGCTTCCTCATGGATATCTCCAACATTCAAGGCCTATCATGGTCTGACTCCAGCCTTCCTCCCCAGCCTCCTCTGCATGATGCTTGGCAGGCAGTGGATACTTGGAGAATTAGCTGCGCCTCCAGTAAGTGCTATGGTCTATTGAAACAATCCCTCTGCCCTCAGCACCCGCACATCCCCTGGATTAAGTCTCACCAGCCTCAGGACTCCCTCTTACACCCACCGACCCCAGCAACTGCTCTTTCTGTGCCCTCCCACCCTGCCCACGGGAGTGGCTTTAATGCTGCCTACGAATGCTTACCATAGGCCAGCATCTGCTCTCCTCTGCCTGTCCCGGTCCTCCTTGCCCTGCCAGCTGGGGCCTTCCCCTAAGGCAAGGGTAGCGGTCCGTTCATCCTTGTGTCCACAGCACCCAGGGCAGGCTCAGGCAGTCCATGGGGGATGGGGGTGATGACTGTCTGCCGGAGGAAGCAGTAATGTTTCTCAGAGGCTCCCAAGTCCCCTTATATTGGTTCCCCTCTTGACTTTGGAAGACTCCAGGTTCTACCTGACCCAGGAATCAGCTACTGGAGCAGCTTCTCCTGCCCAGTTCTACAGCTTGACTTTTACAACAATGCCAAGATTTTACAGAAGGTGGGTGGGGAGGAAAAGGCCCAGAAGGCCTGCTAAGATCAGCGAGGGAGGCTCTGCCAACAGGAAGGAAAGTTCTGAGCAAAAGAGGGGTAGGGAGGGCCGGGTGCGATGGCTCACGCCTGTAATCCCAGCACTTTGGGAGGCCGAGGCAGGCAGATCACGAGGTCAGGAGATCGAGACCATCCTGGCTAACACGGTGAAACCCCGTCTCTACTAAAAATACAAAAAATTAGCCGGGCGTGGTGGCGGGCGCCTGTAGTCCCAGCTACTCAGGAGGCTGAGGCAGGAGAATGGCGTGAACCCGGGAGGCGGAGCTTGCAGTGAGCCGAGATCGCGCCACTGCACTCCAGCCTGGGTGACAGAGCGAGACTCTGTCTCAAAAAAAAAAAGAAAGAAAGAAAAAGGGGGTAGGGAGAGCAGAGGGGCTGCATACCCTTAAACTGGAGGCAATGGGGATGGGAACGCTGGTGGAGAGGGCTGCCCTCTCCCTACCAATGTCTTCCTACCAGGGAAGTCTGCACAAGGACCCCCTGCCCCTGCCCTGAGCCAACAGGACGTTATCTCTGAGATCCATTTGCCCAGCCCCAGCCCATCTTCCCCTGACTCCCCTGAAGACTCAAGTCCTCCTGCTGGCACACTCAGCACAGAAGTAGCTCTCTTCTCCTTCTGATGTGCTTCCCAGTCTGGGGAGACCTCTGGAAGGCCCAGGCCAGACCTCCCCCTGGAGCTGATCCCTGCACACTAGCAGGGCCCCGGAGAGGGAGGCCAGCTGGGGCTGCCTTTCCTGTAAGCAGCTGCAGGCTAGCATCCCTGCTAGGAAATGCTTTTGTTTGCTTTAATAATTCATAGCCGATTCTCAGCCTGGGACCTGGCAGGCAGGCCTGTGGGTGGGTGGCGAGAGGGTGGGCAGAGAGCAGTGGAGTGGGGAGTCTTTAGGTAGAATTGAGGGCCAAAAGAAGAGGGGGAGAGCAGGCCTGTGAGATTCTTCCCCCTCCCTTTCCCCTGCCCTCAGGGACTTTGGTCACTGTGCCAATTTCCTGGGGCAGGTGAGCAGGGCAGCTGCTGGGGGCAGTGGGAAGAGGGGATAGGGACCCTCCCCAGACCCAAACCTCATCTCCAGCAGGACCAACTGGACACAGGCTCTGGGCAGCTGCCTGCAGCCACCAGGTCCTCCCTGTGCAAGCATTGTTGAGGTGGGTGTGCCCCACTGGGCTACTGCTTTTATCTTCCCCAGTCTGCACCATGGCCAGGGGCTGGCATGTCAGGGGCTGGGCAGGGCCAGGCCAATAGATCTTGTCTGGGGCAGGAGGGCCAGGCCCAGCTTGATCATCATCAGCAGTCCCGGGGTCCAGAGGGTGCCTGCAGGGGAGAGCAGGGGCCAATGGGATGCTTGGAGGAAGGGGGGATGTAGAGGAAAGGGACTGGTGGAGCCCTGTCAGGATGGGGCTAAGAAGAGCTGGACTTAGCAGAGAGAGACTTTGGGGAAATCTGCGAAAAGGGATGAGATGCAGGAGTTTTTGCTCCCTCCACTTCCTGGGGTGATGGGTGTCAACAAAGAGCCTCCCCCCATTACTGATGAAAGTAGGGCTTGTCCCCCGTAGCCCTAGCATCCCAGACTCAAAGACAAATTAGGACCAGGGCAAGGCACGGCTCAAAACCTTGAGTTATCAAGGCAGCCAGGAGTTAGGTTTTGGTGGGGAGAAGGGAAGGCAAGACGCCTGGGGGTGCCTCTGAGAGGAGGCCGAGGCTCCAGCCTTGGTCACTTGTCCTCTGTGGGATTTGAGCTGGCTGTGGTTAAATTGCTTACTATAACAAGCATGCAGTCAAGGATGTGAAGAGCCGTGAGTGGCCTTGGGAAGAGAGAACAGAGACTGTGAGGGGGGCTTTGTCTGTACCAGACAGTTATGCTGTGGCAGGGGAGAGCAGCTGCCGCGAAAAGGGCCCTGGAGTGTCCTGCTCAGCCTTGCAAAGGAGCATCTCCCGGGACCTGCTGGGCAGCCCCAGCAATAGCAGTCAGACACCTCTGCAGCTGCTGGCATCTCCCCACAGGCATCTGCATACACTCTGGAGCACAGTCCACCTGAATGACCTAGTCTGTGAAGGTCAGGTTGCCCTTGGTGTTGACTTGAACCTGGATTCCCAACAGTGCTCAGGAAGTCCATGCACACCCATGCTCACTACAAAGCATGTTGACTCTGACCAAAATGCATCTGTGCAACGTAAATCTTTTTTGGTGTCTCAAACAGTCTCCTTTAATTTTCGGTCTATTTAAGAATGAAAGATGGAAAGGAGGTGAGTGGGGCACAATGAAAATACAAAAGCGAGCATATTCTCTTCCCAAATCTGGGTTCTTTAGTACGGGGGCAAATGTCCCACTGCCTCAGGACACTCTGGAGTTGAGAAGAAAGTGTTTTGAACATTGTGCTTTAAACAATCTTTTTAAGAAAGCGAGGAAATGTATAATTCATTTTGCAGTCTTGCAGAAGTGGTTAATGTGGCTGATTTTGTCACTCAGCTGCATTTCTCTGGAAAAGGCGTTTATGTGGCATGGTTTGTTCACTAATGATGCTAAGTGAATAAGCTGTTTCTGAATTATGGGTGCCAGCAGTACATGTGCCAGGTGAGGCAGTTCTTACTTGTATTTGTCATAAACTGATACCTGCCAAGCTGCACTCAGGCCCTTGGGGCTGTAGCTTTGCTGGCATCCATCGTACCCCAGGCCTCTGAATGGCTGGCAGTTGGTACCCACCCACATCCCCTCAGGACCATTGGTCAAGGCTCTGCCTCCCCTGCTGTTAGCTGCTTCCCTTTGCTTGAGGACTTGCTCAGGCTGCCAGAGCCTGCTCTGCTCAGCCCAGAAGTACCTGAGAAGTAACAGCCGTAGAAGCCCTCCACCAGTGACTGACTGGAGTTGGTGGATAAATACCCCAGCTCCCTCACCCATCCCTCTGGTGGGATAATGCTGAGGCACACATTCCATGCTGTTTCCAGAGTTCCCCGTGGGATGGAGCTCCAGGTGCCTACAGTGGGGACTTGAAAATGCACCCTCTATAGGCTGCTTTCTCATCTTTGTCTCACCCCCAACCCCCAGTGTTTCCGAATCACTGCCCAGATAACACTGTTGGTATTTGCATCCTTGTCCCCAGGTCTGCTTCTCGGGGAACCCAAATAAAATACTTGCCTCTCCAGGCTTCAGAGGCTCTATTCCCCCTTCTCTCCCCCTTTCTTTCTTTTAAATTAAGGATACATATCAAAAGACATACGTGCAGTTTCTCTCCACACCCCAATGTTTGTCTTAGGCAGCGCCACTTTGGAGCGGCACCATGAGATCAAAGACTTTGGCCTTGGTCCACATCTCTCTGTCTCTAAGCCAGTCTGAGAGCAGACAGTGGCCCCCACATCCCACCTGTGTCCCCACACATCTGCACCCAGGATGTGCTCATCAGGGGCCCTCAGACCACTCAGCACCTCCTGAGCTGTTTGAGTCTCTATCCCTGTTTCTTTTTTTCTGTTCTTTAGTCCGGGTTTGTTTTCTCATTACAAGAGCATCAGCTTGTAATCAGCTTGTAATCTCCCCTTCCCCTTCCCCAGCCCTCTCTCTTTGGAACTTGCATTTCCATTCTACAAGTGTTGATTGGTCACCTCCTGCATGTTGGGGTCAATCAGGAGAAGGAGGCACCGTCCACACCTGCCTCTGTTGCTCTCGAGTCCTATTCCCCGCAACATGCTGTTCCTCGTGTCCTTCTCCGTCTCTTGTTCATAGGAAGTATCCTTTGCTTGAGCTTCTCCAAGCCTGGCAGGGCTATGAACAGGGTGAGCCGGAGACATTCCCAGGCAAGGGGCAGCCCCATGTGCGCTGCAGGGCTCTTGCCCACTCTGCAGTCCTCCTCTGGTTGGAAGGGGCGGGGGCCGTCATTAACACTGCCCTGTTGTTGTCCATGGCACGGATCTTGTCCTGCAGCTGTAAACTAACCAGTGCTGCTCCATGGGTGGGTGTGAGCCTGGGAGGATGAGTGTGCCTCAGACCCACTGAGCCGTGCTGGGGAAGTGCAGGATGCCGCTCTGGGCTGCCTCGGGGCAGTGGACTGATCCTAAACCTACTATGGGGCAGGGCACAGGCATGCAAAGCAGGGCAGCCCCTCCATGCCCCCAGCTGGCAGGAGACACTGGCCCAGAGACCCCAGGGGAACCTGCTGTCTTCCCCCCTCCCAGGTCCCTGTGCCCTTGCTCCTGTGTAATCCCCTCCTGCAGGGATGCTGAGCCCTGGGAAGGAAGCTTGGCTTGGGGCTTATGCCAGACTTCCCAGGTCTGGTCCTCAGCAGCCTGGCAGGAGCTGGGGGGCAGCCAGGACCCAGCAATGGCTGATATTTGGGTGGGACAGGAAGCTCAGGCCAGCATCTGTGATTTATGCTGCACCAGTCTGGAATTTGGCCTGAGCACTTGCAGGGTGTCTGTGTAGAAAGGGCATGTCCAGTGGTCTGGGAGATTCCGTTATTTCTCAGCACCCACCACTCCTCTGGCAAGGCTTCCTTTTCTCTCTATAGCCTCCCTCCCCACTGCCTGAGAGCCTTCCAGGCCCCTTCGCTGGGCTAGATGACAGGATATAAAAGCCACAGGGACCTGGGAGTGCTTCACAAACCCATCTCCTCTGGCCTTCTCTCCCACTAGGTGGTCCTGGAACCCATCCCCAGTGGAGTTCAAGTTAAGCTGGTCCTGGGAGCAGGAGGGAGGAGCTCAGGGTTGAGGCCTCATTAGCATATTCATCAACAGTAATCAGGGCCCCGCTGTGATCGAAAGCCCTCTTAGGGCTTCCCTGCCTCTTGCTGGCTGGGGAGCGGGTGAGGGGCGATCAAGGCCTCAACTTGAAAGGACTGCAGCCTGAGGGCAAGGGGGTGGAGGGAGCAGGGAAAGATGGAGGGACAGTGAATTCCCTAGGGAAAGGAGCATCTGTAAAAAGAATCTGTGGTCAGAAAGAAAGGTGTTGAGGCCGGGCGCAGTGGCTCAAGACTATAATCCCAGCACTTTGGGAGGCCAAGGCAGGAGGATCGCTTGAGCCCAGGAGTTCAAGATCAGCCTGGATAACACAGTGAGACCCCATCTCTCCAAAATTAATTAGCTGGGCATGGTGGCTCATGCCTGTAGTCCCAGCTACTCGGACGGCTGAGGTGGGAGGATCACGTGAGCCTAGGAGGTTGAGGCTGCAGTGAGCTATAATTGTGCCACCGCACTCCAGCCTGGGTGACAGAGCAAGATCCTGTCTCAAAAAAAAAAAAAAGATACTGGAGGTCCCCTCCCCTCATCTTGATCAGGGACAAGAAGACTTATGGCTTCTGCCTCCTAAGTCAGCATTTCATGTGGATAACTGAGGGAGGCTCCGGGGCAAGCTTTCAAGAGGAGGAAACATTTTCCATTTTACTATTTATTATAACTTGTATGTGTAAAACAATAGCAAGTCCCTCATGCCCATGACATCCCAGGTGTTATGGCTTAGCCTGAAGCCAAGTAAAAGAATAAATTGATTTAAAGTTATATGAAGAAAAATAGTAAGTAGTGGTGACTGTGGCAGCCATTGTCACAGGAGCATGCTCATGATGGGCACCTGGACAAGCTGACCTAAGTGGTCCTCAAGGCAGTTCCCCATCCTGGTCACTCCCCTGCATCCCTGCAGCAGCCTCTCTCTTGTCCCCCACACTGCACCCTCCTTTCCCCCATAGCATCTTTAAGCCCTGCCTGGCTTCAGAACTTTCTAGTGGCCTTTAGTCATGTTTCCGAAACCATGACCCTCAACAAAAGTGCTCCGTAGTCAGGTAAGCAGGGTGTGTTAGTTGGCCAGGTGTAGTGGTTGGCACCTGTAATCCCAGCACTTTGGGAGGCCAAGATGGGAGAAAGCTGGAGCCCAGAAGTTCAAGTCCAGCCTCATCTCTACAAAAAGTAAACAAAATTATCCAGGCATGGTGGTGCATGCCTGTAGTCCCAGCTAGTCAGGAGGCTGAGGTGGGAGGATTGCCTGAGTCCCAGAGGTTGAGGCTACAGTGAGCTGAGATCACACCACTGCACTCCAGCCTGGACAACAGAGCAAGACCCTGTCTTAAAAAAAAAAAAAAAAAAAAAAAGTTACTCCAAGCTGAGTATGGTGGCTCACACCTGTAATCCCAGCTCTTTGGGAGGCTGAGGCAGGAGGATCGCTTAAGTCTAGGAGTTCAAGGTTGCAGTGAGCTATGATCACGCCACTGCACTCCAGCCCGGATGACAGAGCAAAACCCTGTCTCAAAAAAAAGTATTCCAGGTTGGGCATGGTGGCTCATGCCTGTAATCACAGCACTTTGGGAGTCCAAGGCAGAAGGATCATTTAGCCGGGTGTGGAGGCATGCACCTGTAGTCACACCTACTTGGAGGACTGAGGCAGCGGGATCATTTGAGTTAGTAGGTCGAAGCTGCAGTGAGCTGTGATTGCAGCCTGCACTCCAGCCTGCGTGACAGAGTGAGATCCTGCCTTGAAGAAAAAAAGGCGGGGCAGGTCTTGAGCCCAAGTCTTCAAATTTGTATCTAAAAAGAAAAAAAAAACCGACTCCAAAACTTAGCAACTTAAAACAACAAACATTTATTATCTCACACAATTTCTGAGGTCAGAATAAGGGAGCAGACTAGCCTGGTGGTTCTGGATCAGGGCCTCTCATGAGGCTGCAGCAAGATGAGAGCTGGGGCCGCAGTCGTCTGAAGGATTGACTGAGGCGGGTGGATCTGCTTCCAAGGTCGCTCATGCTGGCAAGTCAGGGCTGGCTATCGGCAGGAGGCCTCAGTTATTCTCCCTGTGGACCTCTCCATAGGGCTACTTGAGTGTCATCAAGACATGGCAGCTGGCTTCCCCCTGAATCACTAATCCAAAAAAGGGAAGAAGTCAGAAGCTGCAGTGCTTTTATGATCTAACCTTGGAAGTTATATGCTATTACTCCTGCCATAGTCTATTGACCTCACAGGCCAATCCCAACACAATACAAGAGGGGGCTAACTAAGGGCATGAATCCCAGGGGGTGGGGCTCACTGGGAACCATCTTGTAGGCTGGCTTCCACACATGCAGAGCACCAGCCCTAGCCAACTCAAGCAGGGTACATTCCTGGAGGGTGTCCTAGGGGCCCCCAAATACACCCATGTCTGTGGCCACAGCACCCTTTTCTAAAGGGAGGCTCTGGAGCCATGAGAGATCTAAGGAACACACTTTGGAAGGCCGTGGCTCAGAGAAGAGAATCTAACCCCTTCCCCTGGTGTCTGTGTCCTTCCATGATCTGGCACGAACTTCCAGTACAAACTTTCCTCCTTTCACTTCGCTTTTTGACACCTGCGGTACAGCAGCAGCCTCTACACATCCAGCCATTCCTTGTGCTGTTTATTCTGCCCTTTTTCTTGTTCATCTGTTGAGCTCCTGTTTATTCCTCAAGGACTTAGGGGAAAGCCACCATTCCATGAAGCCTTCCCTTCATCTCCCATAAAAAGAATTAATATTTTCTTCCTTTGCTTCTCCAGTTTTTTTGCATGGACATCTTTGGGGGGCACCTGCCCCTTTGTCTGATGTTGTACCTCTCTCTCTGTCTCCCCTCTTCCAGGCATTTGCTCCTAGCCCCAGTTGTTGCCATGTGTCCAGTGCTTGGTGTATCACTGGGATGCAGGGGATATTTGGGGAAGAGGGAATGCCTTCCTCCTGCTCTCACTCTGGCCTTGCTTCTGGGCATGGTTTCTGATGAGCCAGGAGAGATCCCTTAGCAAGGCCAGAAGAGAAGTTCCTCCTGCCCAAGGGAGCCTGTGGTTGTCTCTCCCAAAGCCTGGAGGCAGGTTCCTCTACACTTTGGGGGTGCTCCCTACCTTCAGCCAGGGCCCAGGCCAGGCAGACTAGTGGTCCTGAGCCAGTTTGATGCCTCCAAGGGTCTGATGGACATCGCCATTCCCCAGGCAACACCACAGGCTCATGACAGCCTCAGCCTGGGCTGGGGTTTAGTGGGATATTTGTTCTAGGGCCCCCGGGGTCTCCTTGAAGCCCTAAAGGGCAGTCACAAGAGCCTCTGGTCAGAAAGACAGATTGGTTCATACTTTTGATTTTTGAGACTGGCCTTGCAAAATGTGCTGCCCAGGGAAAAGCCTGGGAGGGAGACTGACAGGGCCTCCTCCTTTGCAGTCACCACTCTGCCTCTTGTTTTCCAGGGGGCAGGCTGGGGTGCCCTAGGTGCTGAGAGACCTCTATCTGGAAGCGAGATGGCCCTGGTCAGGCTGGAAAGGGCCTGTCTAGTTGGATTTTTTGCCCAAACTCTTGGCATCTTGGAGCCATGTCCTGGCTAGCATGCCTGCCTGGCCCGAGGCGCTGGAGTCTTTCTCACTGGGGGGCCTTCCAGTGGTTTTCCAGCTCTTTTCCTCCCACAGTGGCGTGGGTCTGGCACGAGCACATTTTGAGAAGCAGCCTCCCTCCAACCTCAGGAAATCCAACTTCTTCCACTTCGTGCTGGCCATGTACGACCGGCAGGGGCAGCCCGTGGAGGTGGAGCGCACAGCCTTCATCGACTTCGTGGAAAAGGACCGAGTGAGAGGCTCATGGGCTTGGCTGGGACTGGCCCCGGGAGGGAACCCCCAACCACACACACACACACACACACACACACACACACACACACACACACACACACACTGGGACAGATGAATGGATGGAAGCTGGCTGAGTGGCTGGAAGGGTGGGAAAGAAGTTGGGGTTAGGAGAAGGGGTGGACAAGGGAGGCTGGAGGATCCCTGAGCACCCGAGCATCCTCCCATCTTGTCCCTGCAGGAGCCCGGGGCGGAAAAGACTAACAATGGGATCCATTACCGCCTCCGGCTGGTGTATAACAATGGTGAGTGGAGGCCCCTGCCCTACCCAGCCCTGCCCCTGAAGTCTGGGCACTGCAGCATCATGCGACACCTAATGCCCCCTGTGCCAGGGCTGGGGAGGGTGTGATGTGGTCTGGTCATTGAGGCTGCACATGCTCCCCCAGCAGCAAGCCCTCTCCATCTTCCCATCCTAGGACTGCGGACAGAGCAAGACCTCTACGTGCGTCTCATCGACTCCATGTCCAAACAGGTGAGTCAGCGCAGAGGGTGCTGAGGCCCATCTCACTCTCTTCCCGGACCCTGCCTCCCCCTGGTCTGAGTGAGCCTCCTTGTTCCTGCCCTCATCTCCCTATGCCCTCCGTCCCCATCAGCCTAGCTCCCCCAGTTCCCACCCCAGCCTGTGCCGGAGGGTGTGTGGCTTTTGCCCTCTGTTCTAGAAAAGACAATATTTGTACAAAAACCCTGGCTTGGGTCATGTTTCCTAGCAGCCCAGCCTTAGATGGGAACTCAGGTGCAGGTAGTTTATTTGGGGAGATGGGAGGGGCTCCTAGGAGCAGGGGAGGGAGGTAAGCTGGACAGAAAACTGCACAGGGAGCTCTGGAGAAGGAATGGCACCAGAAGTGTCCCCCCTCGAAGCAAGTACCAGGATTTTGCACCCCGTATCAATTAGTCATTGGCTGGGAACCACTCCTAAGGGTAGCACGTAACCTCTGAGACATTTTCAGACCAGGCAGTTCCTGTCCACTGAGAGCAGTTCTCAGGAGGAAGCCCTCTGCAGCTGACATCAGCCACAGCCACGGGAAGGTGCACATTTCCAGTAAAGGGGATGTGGGCACAGCCCTGGGAATTTCCACTGCAGACCCTTGCACCTTGCTGATGTGACGGTTACGGGAAGGAGGCTCAGAGGCCAGCACAAGGAGCTGGAGGAAACTGAAACCTGAACAGGCTCTGATGGATTCTGCCAACACAGGGCCCCAAATCTCAGGGCTTTTCAGAGAAGCTGTGCATGCTGGCAAGGAGGGGGCTGAGTCTCAAATGGGCCAGATTAGTGGGCTAGGAATGCAAGCTGGAGATCTGGGCTTCCTACATAGGCAGGGTCTTTTGGCAGCCTCCACCCAATCCCAGGGCAGAGGGAAGAATGGTTTGTTTCTAGAATACCCATGGCCACTGGGCTGGGGGAGGCAGGCCAGGCAGTGCCTAGTGGAACTGTCAAGGGGACGGGTGTGGAAGGGGTTCGAGGAAGTCCACAGAGAGAGGGATCCCACAAATGGGGGAAGGCACAGAGGGTTATAAACTAGGAAGGCAGATTTGCAGTTAGGAAGCTCACTTCTTGCTTCTGGGCAGAGGGAGGCTGGAAGACTGGTGAGGAGGTGATGCAGCAGTCCCAGGGGAAGACCGAGCCTGGGCTAGGGATGGTATGGGGGAAGAGGCGATAGTTATCTAGGGGGAAGAGGCAGCTGTGCAGCCCTCGGAGCTGACTGGGCTGGCAGGGATAGCTGAGAAGGACAACACTCATCAACAGAAGCAGAGGTCCGTCAGGACATGGAGGATGCACACAGGAGGATGCTGGGGGAGGGGAGGGGCCTGGTGCTGGGTGGGCACAGGAGTATGTCTACCCCACCAGCCACCTGACCTTTGTCCTGGCACCCTGAGGAACCCCCTGCCCCAAGCAGAGCCAGCTCTGGAAAGAGCCACCTACAGACAGACAGAATCTGCAGACTTCATACCATTCTTGCCAGCCGGTGGTGGTCCGGTTTGGGAGGAGGGGTTATCCCCCGCCTGGGCAGCCCAGAGCAAGGCAGAGGGCGTGCTCTTCCCTGGGGCAGGGTCTCCCTGGGCCTAGGCTTGGGAGATGCCAGGTCCGTCTGTGCTGCCACCTGCACCTCAGAGGAGCCTCCTTCCCCTCCAGCCTGTGCACCTCCCTCTCCCCAGGCCATCATCTATGAGGGGCAGGACAAGAACCCCGAAATGTGCCGAGTGCTGCTCACCCATGAGATCATGTGCAGGTGAGATGGCCATGTCACTCACACCTCACCCCTCTGCCAAGGCGTTTCTGAGGACTCTACCCAGGCCCTGCCCCCTCGCCGCCCTTGCCCCTGGCTGCTCTCTGCTGCTGCTCCCTGGAGAAGCCTGGTGGCAGGTGATGAAGGGAGTGGTGAGGCCCCTGGGCACAGCGCTGGCTGAGGAGAGGGTCCTTGAGGCCCCATTAGCCTGGCCTGTTTATGTGGCTTCTCCGAGTGTTTTTGTAAGAGAGGCCTCCTGCTGCCACTGGGAAGCTTAGCTAATAAAGCTCAGGGGAGGGCTGCTGGGGTTGCGGGAACAGGGTCTGGGAAGGCCTCTGGGATTAGCTCAGAAGCTAATCTTTGAGGAAATTTTGAATCCTAGGGCAGCTCTCTGGCAGGGCAGGGTGGGAGTGAAGGGGTGCACAGCCCTTGGCTCCCTTTTCCCCATTATCCCAGAGCTTGGCATTTCTAGTAAGGTCTCCCCAAGAGATGCCAGTCGTACAGGGTCCTCGGAGGCAGTTCCTGATGCATGGAAAAGAGAACAGGGTTCTGAAATCTGTGGTTGGTAGCCAGGCGCCTGTAATCCCAGCTACTTGGAAGGCTGAGGCAGGAAGGCTGAGGCATGAGCGCAGGAGTTCAAGGCTGCAGTGAGCTATGATTGCACCACTGCATTCTAGCCTGGGTGACAGATCCAGACCCTGTCTCTAAAAAAATAAATAAAGTAAAATAAATTTAAATTAAATAAATCTGTGGTTGGAACTGTGGCTACCCTTGGAAAAGGGAGTGACAAGGAAGAGGCATGACCGGCATCTGGGCTGCTGGCCACGCAGCACTTCTTGGTGTGGATGCTGCTTTCATGGGCAGATTCACTTTGTGGCCATCCATTGGCCAGGCACAATGGCTCACGCCTGTAATCCCAGCACTTTAGGAAGCCGAGGCGAGCGGATCACTTGAGGCCAGGAGTTCAAAAGCAGCCTGGCCAACGTGGTGAAACCCCGTCTCTACCAAAATTACAAAAATTAGCCAGGCGTGGTGGTGCACACCTGTAATCCCAGCTATGTTAGGAGGCTGAGGCACAAGAATTGCCTGAACTCAGGAGGCAGAGGTTGCAGTGAGCCAACATCACGTCACTGTACTCCAGCCTGGGTGACAGAATGAGACTCTGTCTCAAAAAAAAGAAAAAAAGATTCACTTTGTGGTCATTCATGAGCTCACCGTTTGAGCTCCTGTCTCTGCGTAGACTGTGCTTCCATAGAGAGAAACCCTGTAGGTGACCTGCAGCCTGCCCTTTCCTGGGTCCTCCAGGAACGAGGTGCCTTTGGGGCAGGGGTCTCTGGCCAGCCTCATCCCCAGGCTAGGCTCTCAGGGTCCCTGCGGAGGAGCCCACAGCCTTTCTCCCCCAAGCCCTGGGAGTGAGCCCCTCCAGCCCAGGGATTCCACACCCAGAGACAGGACATCAGCACCCTCAGCTCAGGGCGCCCCCCACAACTCACACACTGTCGTGGCCCCCTCCTTCCTTGGCTTCTGCCTTCCCTCCTTCCTCATCTTTCCTTCAGCCGGTGCTGTGACCGGAAGAGCTGTGGCAACCGGAATGAGACGCCCTCAGACCCCGTCATCATTGACAGGTACAGGCTCAGGGAGGGGGCCTGGAAGCTCAGAGGAGAGTGGGGGAGGGGCAGCTGTTTTCAACCACAGAGCACCAAGGCTCAAGGGAGGAGCGGAGCAGCCCCCCCGGGGCACCAGGTTGGGTGGCTCTGAGCAGAGAGGGAAACTGCCAGGCACCAGGGAGCCTCCAGCCGTGGCCCCTGAGTGAGGCCCCAGGTGGCCAACTTTCTGGAGCTGCTTTCCCCGACTCCCTGAGAGAAGGAGCCAGGGAGGGCAGGGAGGTTGAGAGGGGGGTGGGAAGGGAGGGGAGGAACCAGCACTCAGGAACCGTCCAGGTGGAGTGGCCAGCGTGGTCATGTCAGCAAAAACCAGGCTCAGGTTCCCAGTTCACCCCTGTGCTGTCTGACCTGACTTCTCTGAACATTCGTTTCTTTCACTGGAAAAGTGGGGAAAGAGCTGGCAGGTTTCAGTCATAGAATTGTCGAGGTGATGCATGTAAAAGTGCATTTGCACACCATGATTTCTATTTCTTTATTTTGTGTGTGTGTGTTTGTTTTGTTTTGTCGCCCAGGCTAAAGTGCAGTGGTGTGGTCATGGCTCACTGCAGCCTCAATCTCCGAGGTTCCGGTGATCCTCCCACCTCAGCCTCCCAGGTAATTGGGACTACAAGGACACGCCTCCACACCTGGCTAATTTTTTGTATTTTTTGTAGAGACCGGGTTTTGCCATATTGCTCAGGCTGGTCTTGAACTCCTGGGCTCAAGCAATCCACCCACCTCGACCTTCCAAAGTGCTGGGATTACAAACATGAGCCACTGTGCCTGGCCTACTTCTTTTTGAAGAGGAAATGCATAAATAAGGTGTAAAATTCAAATGGTACAAAACAGTAAATAATGAAAAGGAAGTCTCCCTCCACCCCTATGTAGAGCATACTGTACATGTTTTTTTTTTTTGGTAACAATATATTTTAGATATTCCACACAGGAACATAAACCATATCTTATTCTCCTTTTAATAGAAAAAGCATTCATAGGTGCAAAAATTCAAGAAGCTTAAAAGGGTTTACAGCAAACTGTCTCCCACCTCTGTCTCCCACCCATCCATTCCCCACCAAATAAGCTACCACTATTAGCAGTTTCTGTTGTATCCTTCCTGAGATAGTCTGTGCATATACAACAAAATAGTTATATGTTCTTTTTGTACCCTTTCCTTTTGTTTTTATAAAAATGGTGACAGTGGCTGAGTGCAGTGGCTCATGCCTGTAATCCCAACACTTTGGGAGGCTGAGGCAGGGGGATTGCTTGAGCCCATGAGTTTGAGACCAGCCTGGCCAACAGGGTAAAATCCCATCTCAACAAAAAATACACACACAAAAATTAGCTGGGCATGGTGGTGTACATCTGTGGTCCCAGCTACTCAGGAGGCCGAGGTGGGAGGATCACCTGAGCCCAGGAGGTCTAGACTGCAGCGAGCTGTGATTGTGCCACTGCACTCCAGTCTGGGCAACAGAGTGAGACCCTGTCTAAAATAATAATAATAATAATAATAATAATAATAAAATTAAATTAAAATTAAAATGGTGGCAGGAAGCAGAACTTTCAGCACCTTTCTTTTTCCTTGAAAAATTTAGATCTGGGAGTTTACATCAGGACACAAGAAGTCTCCTTATTCTTTTTTGCCACTGCAAAATATTTCATTGTATGGGTATGCCATAATTTATTTAAATAGTCAGATATTGCTGGACATTTTGGTTGTTTTCATCCCTTTTCAGGGATTTAAAAATGCTGCAGTGAATTACTTTGTCCATGTGCCATTTCACACGTGTAAATTTATATGAAGGCTATTACTAAGTAGAATTGCTGGGACAAAGAATATGTGCATTTGTAGTTTTGATAGCTACTGCCAATTCGATCTCTGTAGGGGTTATACCAACAGCATTGAAACCAGCAATTTTGAGAATGCCTATTCCTTACACTCTGGCCAATTAAGTATTTTTGTTTATTTGTTCAATCAACAATTCTTGAGCATCTACTCTGTGCTAAGAACTTTTCTACATGCTGTGGATTAAGCAATGACCAAAATAGACAAAAAGCCTTGTGTTCACGGGCTTACAATCTGGTAGGGGAAATAGACATTAACAAACTAAATGAAAAAAATACATAGCATGTTAGATGGTGATAACAGCTAAGAAAAATAAAGCCATTGAGGAAGATCTGGGAGTGCCTAGGAAGGAAGGTTTGAAGCTTTAGGGTATTTAAGGTCTCACTGAAAAGATGACATTTGAGCCAAGACCTCAAGGAAGTAAGAGAGTGAGCGATGTATTTATGTATCTGGGGGAAGAATATTCTCGGCAAGAGTGTGCCTGCTGTGTTTAAGGGAAAACAAGGAGGCCCAGGTGGCTGGAGCAAGGAAGGTAGTAGGAGGAAATGATGTCAGGAATAATGAATGGGGCAGAGGAAGGCACGACCATGCAGGGTCTTATAGGCTGCATGGAGGCCACACTTGTGGGTCATTGTAAGGGCTTTGGCAGGACATGGAAGCCATTGAGGGGTGTTGAGAATGATAAGACCTGCCTTATATTTTAGCAAGATCACTCTAGCTGCCATATTGACAATGACCTGTACAAGGCAGGGAGATGAGTTAGGAAGCCAGTACAATAGCCCAGGTGAAGGATGATGGAAGCTGAGACTAGGGATGCTATAGGGGAGGTTGTAAGAAGCGGCTGCATTCTGTGTACATTTCATTTCATAGGCAGGACTGACAGGATTTGTTATGGAAGGAGAGAGAGAGAGTCAAAGACTCAAAGATGTCTCCAAGGTTTCTGACCTATCAACTTAGAAGGATGGAGTTTCCTGAGAAGGGTGTGATTTGGGGAAGAGCAGGTTTTGGAGGAGAAAGATCTGGAGTTTGGTTTGAGCATGTTATGTTTATGATGCTCACTAAACATCCAAGTGAGGAGCTGAAAAAGCCACAGAAAACATGAGGATGGGACTCAAGAGAAAGGTTCAGGCTGCAGATGTAAATTTGAATGAATGAAATCATCGAGGGGATGAGTGTTGATAGCAAACAGAAGAGGCCTAAGAACTGAATCCTGAGGTGTCTAGTATTTAGAGGTCATGGAGATGTGGAACCAGCAAAGGAGAATGAGAAGAAGTGACCAGCAAGGTAAGAGGGAAGTCAGGGGAGTGTCGTGTCCTGAAGCCAAGATAAGAAAATGTTCCAAGAAGGAGGCATCTGTGTCCAGTGCTGCTCATGGGTATGATAACAAAGACTAGGGACTGACCATTAGATTTAGCAATGAGGAGGATATTGGTGACTGTCACGGGAGTCATTTCAGTGGAGTTGAGGGGCAGAAGACTGATAGAATTGTGTCTAAGAGAGAACAGGAGGAGAGAGATTGGAGACAGTGAGTAGAGGAACTCTTTTGAGTTTTGCTCTAAAGAAATCAAAGGAATCAGATGATGTCTGGAGCACTGTGTAGTGCCAAGAAAAAATACAGCTTGCTCATATGCTGACGAGAAACAGCCAGGAGGGAAGGGGAAAATGAGGATGCAAGAGAGAGGGGAGAATTGCTGAAGCAATATCCTTCAGGTGGCAAAAGGGATGTGACCTAGTGCATAGGTAGAGAGGCTGGTTTTAGCTGGGAGCATAGACAGTTCATCCATGGAAAAGCAGGGAAGACAGAGACATGGACACAGAAGTGGATAAATGGGTATATCCAAGTGGGAGCTTGGATGTTGTCTTCTGATTGCTTTGTTTTCTCCATGAACTGAGAACCAAGGTCAACAGTGGAAGATAAGGATAGAGAGGGAGACACTAGAGGGCGTGATATAGTTATCCAAGAGAGTGAGTGAACCAGGGGGATGAATGTCATGTGATTGACAAGCGGCACTGAGGGTACCCTTGACGTTTATGATCATAAATTTGGTGATAACTTTCTCCAGCCATGTTGAGCTGCACAGGTGCAGGTGCAGAACAGGTGAGTGGTTGCATAAAACCAGAGTTAGAGGTTTGTCAGTTGAGTAGAAGGAAACATGAGAGGGCAAGAGACTGAAATGTATGTGCAAGGGATATTTATTTTTTAAAAATGGAAGGATTTAAGCTGGGTAAAGAGACGAGTATGATGAGAGTGTGGACATCAATTCTGATGGGGCCAAAGGATTGTTGGAGTTGAGATATGAGACAGGGGTTGAACTGGATGTTAGGTGGATGGAGAATGGGTTGCCTGCAGATGGGATTCAGGGTTGAATTGGTAATGCGTGGCCAGGGAAGGTGGAGACAAGATCGTTGGAGAAAAGATGCTCACGGAATGGAGAAGAGAGTGCATTGGAATAATTATCTGTCTATACTGACATTGAAATAACCAAGAATTATGACAGGGACAAATGTTCAAGGGTGTATATAATGATCCAGGAGTAAAGCTTCATGGAGTGAAGGTAAGTGATCTTGGGGAAGATAAATGGCAGCAACAAGCAGTGGTTACCGTAACTATTTTTTCTCATATTTCTCCATCGTGTAAGCGAACAGCAGTATCCCAGTGATTTCCGTTTCTCTTACTCTGAGTGAGGTTGAGCCCACCAGGGCTATTTAAAGGCTATTTGTGTTTCCTTTACTGTGAACTGTCTGTTCATATCCTGTGCTTATTTTTCTTTTCTCCTTCCTTCCTTCCTTCCTTCTTTCCTTCCTTCCTTCTTTCCTTCTCTCTTTCTCTCTCTCTTTCTTTCTTTCTTTTCTTTCTTTCTTCTTTTTTGACAGGGTCTTGCTCTGTTGCCCAGGCTGGAGTGCAGTGGCGCAATCATAGCTCACTGCACCTCGACCTCCTGGGCTCAAGCCATCCACTCACCTTAGCCTCTGAAGTAGCTGGGACCACAGGCTCACGCCAACAAGCCCAGCTAACTTGTGTATTTTTTGTAGAGATGGGGTTTTGCCATGTTGCCCAGGCTGGTCTCGAGCTCCTGGGCTCCAGGAATTCTTCTGCCTTGGCCTCCCAAAGTGCTGGGATTACAGGCATGAGCCACAACACCCCACCATGTGCTTATTTGTATGTAAATTATTGACTTTTTAAAAAACTGATTTGTAGGAGTGTGTATTAATGAAATTATCCCTTTGTGATGAGTTGTCCATATTTTTTCAAGTCATTTAACTTTGCCTATGGTGAAATTTGCCCAGTTCCTAAATCTTTTACATACTCCGGGTTTTCATTATATTTAGAAAGGCCTTTATCACTCCAATATTATTTTTTAAATGTATCCTGTGGTTGCTTCCAGTATTTAGATGGTTTCATTGTTTACATTTAAATGTTTGATTCATTTGAAAAATATCTTGTTACTATATCCTATATGATACATGCAAAAGAAAAGTAAAACAAAATAAAAATTATAAGGTATAATTAAAAATTATAAGGTATAATAACCAATGTACACCTGTGAACCTACCAACAAACTTAAAATTAGAACATGAGAAATACCATTGAAGCCAGCTCCCCCCAGTCCCCATACCACTGCCTAACCCTCTCCTACAGGTAAACCAAGTTTTGTGTTTATCATGACCTGGCTTGTTAAAAAAAAATTCATCACAGATTGCATAATCCTAAAAAAAGTGTGTTGGTGTAGTTTAGTTGTGCTTGTGTTTAACTTTATAAAAAAAAATGATACCATGTTGCAGCAACCTTCTGCAATGCTCTTTTTAAATTCAGCATATTTCTAAGATTTATCTATCTTGTTGTATTTAGCTGTAGTTTGTTGTATTTAGCTGTAGTTTGTCATATTTAGTTTTTGCTATTATAAGCAAAGCTGCTATGAGCATTCTTGTTTGTGTCTCTTAATTTGAGTAAGTACAAGAGTTTGTTTAGGATATAAACTAGGTCAGGAATTGTCAGGTCATGGATACGCACATGATCATCTTAACAAGTTGATGTCAACTGTTTTCCAAGGTGGTTTGACTAAGTAACACTCCCACCCACAATACTGAGTTTCTATCGCTCCACATCCTCACCAACACTTAATAATGTCACACTTCTTATCGTTTGCCAATCTGGTGGGTGTACAGGGCATTTTGTGATGGCCTTAATTTGCATTTTCCAGATTACTATTGAAGTTGAACATCTTTTAATTTGTTGGCTTATTTATTTATTTATTTATTTTTGAGACACAGTTGCACTCCGTCGCCCAGGCTGGAGTGCAGTGGCGCAATCTCGGCTCACTGCAACCTCTGCCTCCCTGGTTCAAGTGATTCCTGTGCCTCAGCCTTCCGAGTAGCTGGGATTACAGGCGCACGCCATCACACCCTGTTAATTTTTGTATTTTTAGCAGAGATGGGATTTCGCCATGTTGGCCAGGCTGGTCTCGAACTCCTGACCTCAAGTGGTCTGCCTGCCTTGGCCTCCCGAAGTGCTGGGATTACAGGCATGAGCCACCGCGCCCGGCCTTACTCTGTATTTTACTTTAAAAATCTTGCCAGGCACAATAGCTCATGCCTATAGTCCCAGTTACTCAGAGGTTGAGGTGGGAGGATTGCTTGAGCCTGGAAAATTGAGGGTGCAGTGAGCCATAATCCCATCACTGCACTCCAGCTGGGGAACAGAGTAAGACCCTGTCTTAAAAAAAAAAAAAAAAAAAATCCTTGCCAGGCGCAGTGGCTCACGCCTGTAATCCCAGCACTTTGGGAGGCCGAGGCGGGCAGATCACCGGAGGTCGGGAGTTCGAGACTAGGCTGACCAACACGGAGAAACCCTGTCTCTACTAAAAATACAAAAAAATCAGCCGGGTGTGGTGGTGCATGCCTGTAATCACAGCTACTCGGGAGGCTGAGGCAGGAGAATCGCTTGAACTCAGGAGGCGGAGGTTGTGGTGAGCCGAGATCGTGCCACTGCACTCCAGCCTGGGCGACAAGAGTGAAACTCCGTCTCAAAAAAAAAAAAAAAAATTCTTTTTCTCTGCTGAGGTCATGAAGATATTCTTCTATATTTTCTTCCAAAGGTTTCACAGTTTTCCCTTTCACATTTGTCATCCCTATGGAACTAATTAGGGGTATGGTGTGAATTAAGGAATCAATGTAATTATTTTTTACTTAGGAACTACCAATTATTCCAATACCATTTATTAAATAGCTCATCCTTTCCCACTGAGTTGTAGTACCAGCTATGTCCTATATCAAGTTTTCTGCTATTTGTGGGTCTGTTCCTAGACTCTCTATTTTATTCCTTTGATCTATTTGATAACTCCTATGTAATCATCACTTTTTAAAATCACTATATCTGTATAATACCAATGCAAGGACAAGTGTATAGGGCAAGTCTTCCACCTTCCCTGAACATTCTTCAGTTGAATATTGGATATTTTGGCCTTTTGTGTTTCCATGTAAACACCACACTCCTCTTAGAGTTTTAAGCAATATTACAATGAACCTATACGTCAATTTGAAGAAGAATTTGTCTTTATGCTACTGAGTCTTCTGATCCATGAATATGGTTTATCTCACCATTTTTGTAGATCTTCTTTAATGCTTTTCAATATAGTTTTATAATTTTTTCAATAACGGCCACAAATACTCATTACTTTCACTAATTCATTTATTCAATAAATATTTATTGAGCATCTACTATGTACCAGGCACTAGGTAAACAGTACACTTACCAGGTTCTAGGCTTTAGGAATACAAGAGTAAACAAAGCAGACAAAAAAAACCTGTTCTCCTGGAGAGAGAATATATAGGGATGGGGAATAAATAATTATTGTAAGTCTTTAGAAGGTAATAAATGAAAAAATAGAGAAAAATAAAACAAATTAGGATTGGGGGAATGTACAATTTTAAATGAGGTAGTCAATTAAGCCAAATTGAGAAAGTGGAGTTACAGGAAACACTGAAGAGATGAAGAAATGAGCTATTTAGTTGTATGGGTAGCTTATTTCCAGGTACTATTTGTATTTTGTTGCTATTGTAAATGGCATCTTTTGTTATGTTTTCTAATTCTTTGTTTATATTATAGAGAAATGCAACTATTTTTGCATTGATCTTTGTCTTTAGATTTGCCTTGTTTTTATTTTTTTATGTAGACAGCCATCTTATACAAACAAATACTGTTTTATTTTATCTATCCAGTCCTTATATATTTTATTTCTTTTTCTTGCTTTATTGCACTGGCTAGGACCTCAGTTACAGCTTTGAATATACGCAGTGGTAGTGGGCATTCTTTTTTTTTTTTTTTGAGACAGAGTCTCGCTCTGTCGCTCAGGCTGGAGTGCAGTGGCATGATTGCAGCTTACTGCAACCTCTGCCTCCTGGGTTCAAGTGATTCTCCTGCCTCAGCCTCCTGAGTAGCTGGGATTACAGATGCATGCCACCATGCCCGGCTAATTTTTGTATTTTTAGTAGAGACGGAGTTTCACCATGTTGGTCAGGCTGGTCTCGAACTCCTGACCTCGTGATCCACCCACCTCAGCCTTCCAAAGTGCTGGAATTACAGGCGTGAGCCACCGCACCCGGCTGGTTAATGTTAAGCCAATTCTACATTTCCCAGATAAACCCCACTTAATAAGGATGTATTATCTTTTTAAATATACTGTTTGATTCTACTTTACATTTTGTTAAGAATTTTTGCATGTATGTTCATAATGGATATTTTTCTGTAGTTTTCTTGTAATTTCTTTGGTTTTGGGATTGGGGTAATGCTGGCCTCATTTGAATTGATTGGGAAGCATTTCCTTCTCTTCAAATTTTTTTGAAGAGCTTGTGTGGAACCAGTATAATTTCTTCTTTAAGTGTTTGGTGGAATTCACCATAAAGCCATCTGGGGCTGGAGTTTTCTTTGTTGGAAGGATTTTAACTGTAATCTCAATTTCTCTAATAGATATAGAAGGTTATTCATTTCTTTCTGAGTGAGCTTTGGTAATTTATGTGTTTCAAAGAATTTGTCAATTTCTTATGAGCTGTTGAATCTGTTGGCATAAAATGTTTATAATATTCCCTTATCATCCATTTAGTATTTCTAGAACCTATAGTGATGTCACCTCTCTCATTCCTGATACTGGCAAATTGTGTCTTCTCTTTTTCCTCATCAATCTGGCTACAGGTTTATCCATTTTATTGAGCTTCTAAACAAACCAGCTTTTGGTTTCATTGATTTTCTCTATCATTTTTCTGTTTTTTGTTTCATTGATTTCCACTTTGGTATTTATTTCCTTTCTTCTGCTTACTTTTGGTTAATTCCTTCTCCTTCTGGTGTCTTAAGGTGGAAGCTAAGTTATTGGCTTAAAATCTTTCATTTTTGTCTTAAAATAGACTTTTAGAGACATACACTTCTCCTCAAGTACTGCTTTCGGAGCATACCCAAAATTCTGATATGTTTTCATTTTTATTCAGTTTAGAATGCTTTCAAATTTCCCTTTTGAGGTCTTTTTTGACCCACATGTTACTTAATTTCCAAAAACTTGGGGGGATTCTCCTAGAATCTTTTTATTATCAATTTGTTTTATTTACTTATTTATTTTGAGACTGAGTCTCACTCTGTCACCCAGGCTGGAGTGCAGTGGCATTATGATGGCTCACTGCAGCCTCAACCTCCTGGGCTCAAGCACTCCCTCTGTCTCAGCCTCCTAAATAGCTGTGACTACAGGTGTGTGCCACCATACCCAGCTAATTTTTGTATTTTTTGTATTTGTTTGTTTGTTTTGAGACGGAGTCTTGCTCTATTGCCCAAGCTGGAGTGCAGTGGCGCAATCTCGGCTCACTGCAACCTCCACCTCCCAGGCTCAAGCGATTCTCCTGCCTCCGCCTCCTGAGTAGCTGGGACTAAAGGTGCCCACCACCACGCCCAGCTAATTTTTGTATTTTTGTTAGAGACGGGGTTTCACCATATTGGCCAGGCTGGTCTCAAACTCCTGACCTCAAGTAATCCAGGCCCTGGCCTCCCAAAGTGCTGGGATTACAGGCATGAACCACCGTGCCTGGCCTTTTGTATTTTTTGTAGAGACGAGGTCTCACCATGTTTTCCATGCTGGTCTCGAACTACAGGGCTCAAGCAATCTGCCCACCTCAGCCTCCCAAAGTACTGGGATTAAAGGCGTGAGTCACCATGCCCAGCCCTTCATTATTAATTTCTAATTTAATTGCATTGTTTGTCAGACAACATGTACTTTGTGTGACTTGAATCCTTTTGAATTTATTGAAACTTGCTTTATGGCATAGAATATGGCCCACGTTGGTAAATATTTTGCCTGCGCTTGTGAAGAATGTTTATTCTGTTGTTATTGCGTGAAATGTTCTATAAATATCAAACAGGTCAAGTTAATTGATAGTGTTGTTCAAGTGTTGTTTTAGCTGATTTTCTTCCTATTTATTCTACTATTGAAAGAAGGGTATTAAAATCACTGACCATTATTGTACATTTGTCTATTTCTCCTTGAGGTTCTATCAATTTTCCTTCATATAATTTGAAAATTCATTGTTAGGTACATGGATGTCTAGAATTATTATGTCTTCTTGTTTAATTGACTTCTTTATCATAAAATTCACAAAATCTACTTTGATAATATATAGTCACACTAGCTCCCTGCAACCTCCGCCTCCCAGGTTCAAGCAATTTTCCTGCCTCAGCCTCCCAAGTAGCTGGGATTGCAGGCACCCACTACCACGCCCAGCTGAATTTTTGTATTTTTGGTAAAGACAGGGTTTCACTATGTTGGCCAGGCTGGTCTCGAACTCCTGATCTCATGATCCCCCTGCCTCGGCCTCCCAAAGTGCTGGGATTACAGGTGTGAGCCACCGCCCCCGGCCCATTCTTCTTTTCTTTATCTTTTTCTTCATTTTTTTTCCCCCTTTCTTTAGATGACTTGGGTTTTTCAGATTATCTTATTTTTGTCTCCTGTGTTGGCTTCTTAGCAAAACTCTATATTTTGTTATTTCAGTTGTTTATTTAGAACTTATTGTATATATCCTAAACTTACTGCAATCTACCTTCAATTATACCCCTTCTTGTATTGTATGCTATTACTGTCGCAGACTTTATTTTTACGTGTTATAAAATCCAAAATACATTGTTATTATTTTGCTTTGTCAATTGCTTTTAATGAGATTTAAATAATATTTAAAATATTTTATCTATTTATCCATGTAGTTACCATTTCCTTTCTGTTGATCCAAATTTCCATCCAGTATCAATTTTCTTAGGCCTGAAGGGCATCCTTAAATATTTCTTGTATTGTTTGTGAAAGCTATTTTGCTGGGTATAGAATTATAGGTGATAGTTGGGTTTCTTTTTTATTGGTTTGTAAGATGTCGCTCCACTGTCTTCTCTCCTGTGTTTCTGATAAGAAATCTGATGTTTATCCTTATCTTTGTTCCTCTGCACATAACATGTCTTTCATTTCTAGCTGCTTTTAAGATATTCTTATAATTCATTTTGAGCAACTTGATTATGATGTACATTGATGGAGTTTTCTTCATGTTTCTTGTGCTTAGGGTACATTGATCTTTTTGTTTCTGGGAGTTTACAGTTTTCATTCAATTTGGAAAGTTTTTGACCATGATTTATTCAGTTATTTTTTTCTACCCCTCTTCTTTGGGGACTCCAATTACTCACATATTGGAACTTCTTGAAGTTTTTCTGCAGCTCACTGATTCTCTTCTTTTTTTTTTTTTTTTTTTGGATTTTTTTCCCTCTGTGTTCGTTCTGAATAGTTTTAACTGTTATGCCTTCAAGTTCACTAATCTTTTTTTCTGCCAGTTTTCATCTGCCATTAATCCCATTCCATGCAATTTTAAAAATCTCAGACATTGTAGTTTTTATCTCTACAAGTTTGATTTGATTTGTATCTTTTTTATATCTTCCTTGTCTCTAAGTTTCTTTTTTTTTAGATGGAGTCTCGCTCTGTCACCCAGGCTGGAGTGCAGTGGCACGATCTCGGCTCACTGCAACTTCCACCTCCTGGGTTCAAGTGATTCTTCTGCCTCAGCCTCCCGAGTAACTGGGTTTACAGGCAAGTGCCACCATGCCCAGCTAATTTTTGTATTTTTAGTAGAGACAGGGTTTCACCATGTTGGCCAGGCTGGTCTCGAAATCCTGACCTCAGGTGACCCGCCTGCCTCAGCCTGCCAAAGTGCTGGAATTACAGGTGTGAGCCACTGCACCTGGCCCCATGTCTCTAACTTTCTGAACATATAAAACACAGTTATAATAACTCTTCTATTATATTTTTCTGCTGATTCTAACATCTGTGTCTGTTCTGAGTCAGTTTCAATTGACTGATTATTCTCTTCCTTACAGATCTTTTTTTAAGCATCTTGGCATGCCTGGTAATGTGTAATTGGATGTCAGATATTGTGAACTTTTTCTTGTTGGGTAGTAGATATTTTTGTATTTCTGTAAATCTTGAGCTTTGTTCTGGGATGTAGTTAAATTACTTGGAACCAGTTTTGTCTTTTTGAGCCTTGGTCTTGTTTTTGTTTTTGTTTTTTCTTTTTTGAGATGGGAGTCTCACTATGTTGTCCAGGTTGGACTTGAAATCCTGGGCTCGAGCAGTCCTCCCACCTCAGCCTCCTGAAGTAACCAGGACTACAGGTATGTGCCACTGCCCTCATTGAGCCTTGCTTTTATGATTTCTTAGATGGTCCACAGAGTACTCAGTCTGGGGCTAATTATTCCTCACTACTAAAGTAAGACTTTCCTGAGTACTCTACCCAATGCCCTATGAATTACGAGGTGTTTTTTTTTTTCAGTCTAGTTGGTAGAAACAAGCACTATTTTCATCCTTATGTGAGCACCAAGTCATGCTTCCTTTATTCGTTTTGAGTAATTCTTTACTTGGCTTCAGATAGTTTTCTCACATGCATGCCTTTATCAGTACTCTACTAAATGTTCAAGGAGGTTCCTCCGCAAATCTCTAGGATACTCTTTGTATGCAGCTGTCTCCTCTCCAAGAAATCTAGCTACCTTGGTCTCCCTGGACCCTGAGCTCTATCTCCTCAACTCTGGGAGTCTGCTGGGAAGTGCCTCAGTTCCTTCTCCCTATGCCACAGCCTGAAAACACTCAGAGCATTATGCTGGGATATTTGTAAGGTTTAGCCTGTTTATTTCTCATCTCTTGGGGATCACTGCCCTTCATTGTGTAATATCTATTGTCTTGAAAAATGTTTTATTTATTTCATCTGGTATGTTTTGTTTTGTTTTGTTTTCAGGATACAGGTAAATGTGGTCTCCGTTACTCCATCTTGGCTAGAGCAGAAGTGTGTTTCTTAATTTCCAAATATGTGGTATTTTTCTAGTTATCTCTTGTCACTAATTTCTAACCTAATCGTGTGTCTTATTGGATCTACTATATTACACATGTCCATTAAATCAAGATTGTGTTGTTCAAGTCTATCTTTACTTATAATTGTCTGCTTGATCTATTGGAAACTGATAGATGAGGTTATAATCTCCCGCATGAGTTTTCAGCTTTTCCCTGTTGTTCCATCAATTTTTGACACATATATATTATTACTATTCGATAAATTGTGGACAGGCTTTTAAAAACTTTATAACTTCCTTCTGAATTGAACCTTTTATCAGTATTCATTGATACTTTATTTCTAATAATACTTTTGCTTCAAAGTCTGTTTTATCTGATATTATTTACAGGCTCCCTCAAAACACTTTTGGTGATATTTGCCTCAGATACTTTTTACTCTGCATTTATTTTCAACCATTATGTGTCCTTATGTTTAGATGTTTGTCTTTTATTTATTTTTATTTTTTTTTATTTTTTCTTTGAGACGGAGTCTCGCTCTGTCGCCCAGGCTGGAGTGCAGTGGCGCAATCTCGGCTCACTGCAAGCTCAGCCTCCCGGGTTCACGCCATTCTCCCGCCTCAGCCTCCCGAGTAGCTGGGACTACAGGCGCCGCCACCACGCCCGGCTAATTTTTTGTATTTTTAATAGAGACGGGGTTTCACCGTGTTAGCCAGGATGGTCTCCATCTCCTGACCTCGTGATCCACCCGCCTCGGCCTCCCAAAGTGCTGGGATTACAGGCTTGAGCCACCGCGCCCGGCCAGATGTTTCTCTTTTAATAGCACGTTGCTGGATTTTTTAAATCTAGTCTATTTTTTAACTGGCAAGTTTAGTTCATTTACTTTATTGAGATTATATTTTTTTCAATTTTATTGGTGTATAGGTGACAAATAAAAATTTTATATCTTTAATATGTACAATATATTTTAACCATTTTCTACCATATTGCTTTGTGCTTTCTATTTGTTCCACTTCTATGTTTCTTTGTTTTCATTTCCTGTCATTTAAAAAATTAAGTATTTCATTTGATGTGTGTGTGTTTCTTATCTCATTTTCTCTTCTTTAATGGTTTGGAACTGTATTCACTTCAATTCTATCCTTTGAGTTATTGCCCTTGAAATTTACTACATATTCTTAAGAAAGTCATAATTCCTTTCCTGACTAATATTACAGTTTTTAGCAATGATGTGTTGGAGCTGGTTTATACTGGCTCACAAGAGCTGATTGTTAGCATCTCTTCTCAGTTTTATATTCAGTGACACCCATTGGCAGTTTGAAATCAACCATGCTGGGAACATATAACCATGGAAATCAACAACACTATAAATCAGAGTTTTGCACCCTGAAAATTTGGAAATGGTTGTTAAACATTAACCAGTACACTACTGATCTTAGGCCATTCTATCACACCTGCCCTATTTTTTAAAGCTGCATATCATTGTTATGCTTTTTTATTATATATGAATAATTTTTTTTAACTCTGCTAAATTTTCTGCTCACCTTTTCCTTCTTGCATTTTGCAGCTTTTTGGAGGGCCATTTTCTTTCTTTCTAAAGTACATCTTTTAGAAGTTCCTTGAAAAGATTGGCTGGTAATAAATTGTGTTCTCACTTTTGTCTTTGTATGACTCCGTTTCTTGAAAGATGGTTGTTCTGGGAACACAATTCCACATTGACAGTTATTTTTTACTTAGTACTTTGAATATATTTCCATTTTTGTTGTTGAAAAGTCCAGCATGCCAGGCATGATGGCTCATGCCTTTAATCCCAACACTTTGGGATGACGAGGTACAAGAATCACCTGAGCCCAGGAGTTTGAGACCAGCCTGTGCAACATAGTGAGACCCCATCTCTACAAAAATTAAAAAATTAGCCATGTGTTGTGGTGCATGCCTGTAGTACCAGCTACTTGGGTGGCTGAGGCAGGAGAATCATCTGAGCCCAGGAGCTGGGGATTACAGTGAGCTATGATGGCACCATTGCATTCCAGCCTGGGCAACAGAGTGAGATCCTTTCTCAAAAAAGAAAAAGAAAAGTTCAGCATAATTGTCATTCTTTTGTAGATAAACTCACTCTTCTCTCTGGCAGTATATGAGAGCTTCTTTTTGTCTTTAAAGTTCTTCAGTTTCACTCTGGTATGTCTAGGTGTGGATTTTTAAAAATTCTGCTTAGAATGTGTTGGCTTATTTATATCTATGGATATACATCTTTTACCACGTCTGCAAATTTCTTAGCCTTTGTCTCTCCTAATGTTACATCTCATTTGCTTTCTCTCTTTTCTCTTCTGGCACTCCAAAGAACACTCCAATTTAGATCTTTTTATTTCATCCTCCATGTATCCTAAACAATTTTATATTTCCCACCTATTTTTCTCTTCATATTGCATTCTGGGTAATTGTTTTTCATTCATCTTTCAAGTCATTAATTATTTCTTTAGCTGTATCTAATTTTTAATTTATCCCATGAGTTTTTTATTTCAATGATTCTATTTTTTATTTCTGAAAGTTTTATTTAGATCTTTTGCAATATGTCTAGTTATTTTGCATGGTCTCTTCTTGCTTGCTCATATTTCTAAGTTGATTTTTATTTCTTTAAATGTTTTGTAGTTATTTTACATTCTGTATTTGGTAATTTCAATATCTGAAGTCCTTGGGGCTTTAAATCTGTTGTCCATTATTTCTGCTATTACTCATGGTGGCTTGTTTCTGTGTTTGGTCTTTTTGTTATTGATGTGGTGGTGGTTATTTTAGTTTATATTTGGTTGAACCAAATCTGGCCCCAAACCGGGTATGTTTTCCCCCAGAAGAATTTTGTCTGATTCTGCCTGGAACAAGGGGTGCTACCAACCTCAGACTTTTCTAGGTTCCTCAGAGGATCCAGGGCCCTCCTCTCAGGTGGTTCCTATTCTCCATCCCGGTGTTTATATTGGCATTTGCCACAAGTACAGTTCTGATATTTGTGTATTTGTGTTAGCTCATAGCTTATGGCTCCCAATTAGATTTCAACTCACTTATTTTTGTTTTTTAGTATCTTTGGCAATTTCCCTTACCGTTTTTATGAAAGCCTGGTATCTAGTTCTATTGCCGGGGGGACCTCAAGATATGTAGTCTGCTATTATCCTAGAAGAGGAACTCATTCATTCAGAATTTACACTGGTGAAAGGTAGAAAATAAGGCTCTACATGTATTTTTTTTTCTTATGGCTTCCAGTTGCCCCAAGAGCATTTATTTAATAATCCATCTTTCTTCCATCAATTGGAAATATCAATCACATCATATTCCAAGTTCCCAAATGTAATTGTATGTTTTTCTGGACTTTTCATTCAATTTTATTATTCCATCTGTTTTTCATGGGGAAATATGATGCTGTGGCCAGGCAAAGTGGCTCATGCCTGTAATCCCAGCACTTTGGGAGGGCAAGGCAGGAGGTGAGGTGTAGTACCAGCTACCTGAGAGGCTGAGGCAGGAGAATCCTGACTTGAAGTCAGGAGTTTGAGAACAGCCAGGGCAACATGGTGAGACCATGTCTCTACAAAAATGTTTTTTAATTAGCCAGGGGTGATGGTGTACTCCTGTAGCCTCAGCTTCTCAAGAGGCTGAGTTGGAGGATCACTCGAACCCAGGAGTTCAAGGTTACCGTGAGCTATGATTGTACCACTACACTCTAGCCTAGGTGAGAAAGAAAGACCCTGTCTCAAAAAAAAAAAGAAATATGATGCTGTTTCAATTTTTGAAGATTTAAACGTGTTTTAATAACTGGTAGATCTAGTCCTTTTCCCCCATTACTCTTATATTTTAGAATTTTCCCAAATATTCTTGATTATTTGTTACACAAACTTTACAATTAGATTATCTAGATCACCAAAACATAACTTCTTGGTGTCATTTTTTTAGGTTGTGGTAAAAAACACATAACGTAAAATTTTCCATCTTCACATTCATGAGAGTATGGTTCGGTAGTGTTATATTCAAATTGTTGTGCAACAGATCTCCAGAACTTTTTCATCTTGCAAACCCGAAACTCTATATTTATTAAGCAGCTCCCCATCTCCCTCTCCCCCCAGCCCGTAGTAGCTGCCATCCTACCCTCTGTTTCTATGAATTTGACTACTTTAGACTCCTCACATAAGTGGACTCACATAGCATTTATCTTTTTGCGACTGGCTTATTTTACTTGGCATACTGTCCTCAAGGTTCATTCATGTAACATGTGACAGGATTGCCTTCCTTTTTAAGGCTTAATAATATTCCATTATATGTATATACCACCTTTTATTATATATTATATGTTTATAACATGTATATATATTTTATTATATACATACATCGCATTGTATGTATATACTACATTTATCCATCAATGAACCCTTCAGTTGCTTCTATCTCTTGGCTATGAACATGGGTGTGCAGATATCTCTCTGAGATCTTACTCCTTTCCATTTTTTTGGATATACAGTCATCCCTCAGTATATGCAGGGATTGGCCAGGTTCCCCATCCTGCCCACACATGTACCAAAAGCTGTGAATACTCAAGTGCCACAGTTGTCCCTGCAGAAATGCATATATGAAAAGTCATCCCTCTGATAAGCAGGTTTTGCATCCTTTGAATACTGTATTTTTTAATCTGCATTTGGTTAAAATAAATCCACATATAAGTGTACCCAGACAGTTCAAACCTGTGTTTTTCAAGGGTCAGCTGTATACCTAGAAGTGGAATTGCTGAATCAATGGTAGTTCTATTTCTAATTTTTTGAAGAACCACCATACTGTTTTCTATTTAAAAGGTCGCACCATTTAAAAATCCCACCAACAAAGTTTCCAGTTTCCCCACATCCTTGCCAACACTTATCATCTTTTTTATAGTAGTCATCCTAATGGGTGTGAGGTAATATTTGATTATAATTTTGATTTGCATTTCTCTAATGATGTTGAACATCTTTTCATATGCTTCTTGACCATTTGTACATGCTCTTTGGAGAAATGTTCATTGAGATCCGTTGCCTATTTTTAAATTGGATTATTTGGGGGTTTTCTGAGTGTTGAGTGTTAGGAGTTCCTTCTATATTCTAGATAGTAACCCCTCCTCAGATATATGACTTGCAAATATTTTATCCCATTCTACAGGTTGCCTTTTCACCCTATTAATTGTGTCACTTTTATTGAAATCATGTTTAACTCAGATTAACCTGGAGGAAATGGAATATTTATGATACCAAGTCTTTAAAGTGCTTTGAAAATGTAATTCATTTATTGTATAAGTTGCACTAAGAAGGGTGCAAACAAAAGCAGCTTTACCATTTCTAACAACTGCCCTATAAACCTGCTCGGTGAGATCATTTCTCTCCATCCCTGGATGAAATAATGGACTATTCCTTCATCTTTTTTCCACCACTCTCATGAAATAAAAATCCTCTGATCACTTAGGTAAGAAAATGTCCAGAGGAGTGTAACAAACTCCAGAGATTGTCTGATTCTAAAGCATCTCGTCATCCTGGCTTGGTCCTGCCTTGGGTTTAGTGGTGAGGATGGGTTTGGTAAAAGGGTCTTCTCCCTTTCTTCATTCACCTTCACCCCTACTTATTACCTGTAGTCTAGAGTCACCTCCATGGTTGAGGTGGCTGAAGGGAAAAGAGGTTCGGGGGCGGGGGGTTGAAGGGACAAGGTGTTCCTAGGTGACACAGTGGCAATCTGTCATTTGTGCCTCTGGAAATGGTGAATAACCCTGGCTTTCTTTCTGAGCTTTTGTAGATCTCTCAAATCCCCCATCCAGGACCCTCTGATGGCCTTTTGTGATCCCCTCAGCTTCTAGACCTGATTCTTTATCCACAGCAGGATTCCTAACCTGAGGTCTACAAGAATACCTGTGGGTCCATAGGTAGAGTTCTGGGAACTTAGATGGGAAAATTCCATTTTTTTTTTACACAGTTTCCAGTCCTGGAAACCTTTAGCTAATCTTTAGCATTCCTTCAATGGTGGGAATGGGCAACAGATCACCATAGTATTAATACTCTGTGTAATTTTATCACTAGAATGGTTAATTTCCATATCATAGTAGAGCTGTTGCAGATATTTTGAAATCCCATTATACTCACTGCCACTTCAAGATTACTGTAGTTGTTAGAACAGCTACTAGATCTTATTACTTAATAAATTAATAAAGTGTGAATATAACTATATAACCATTTTAAAATGTTTTTTGATAACTTTCAATATAATTGGTTTATTTTATAATTCTATGAATTTATTTTGTACATATGAAAACAATATGCTGAGAATGGGTTCAATGGGTCCATGGCACCAAAAAAAAAAGGTTAAGAACTCCTGACTGAAAGCCTTCGCCGACTCCTATTGAGCGCATTTTCGCAACAGTTCACAGCCAGCCACGCTCAAAGAACCCAAATCTGGCTGATGAAAAACAGGCATGGTCCTTGCCCTAATCAGCTCTGAAACAGCATCCGGTTCTTAAAGCCACCCCCACCAATGTCTGGCCCCGCTTAGCTACTCAGGATGAGCTTGCCTTTCCCCAGCCTCTTGCTGATAAACTTCACAAGTATGAATTTAGTATGGATCTCTCTGCTCTTTGAATTCTAGTGGATGCTTGTCAACTTCTGCAAGCAGTCCTTTTGAAGCTCCCCTACTAGGCCGAAGTGAGACAGACACACCCCACACTTCCTCCCCATTGAGATGGGGGGAGCTACAGCATCTTGAGAGCTCCACCTACCACAGTTCCTATTTTTCACCCTAGAGAGAGATGATGAGCTCAAGGACAGTCTATGACCGGGTAGCATAGGTGGTCCAGCAGCTACATTGTCGTTCTTAACTTTGAGACCTCAGCTGAAACCAAGACAAAAAGAGTCCGTTTTCACATCCTATTACACAAAGAGTAGTAAGTAGAGGTTGTTACTATCTATAGAGATTGTTACCCTCTAGAAGCAGAACCTGAGGTGGGGATTCAATTTCCTCCCTCACAGGGAGTGAAGGAAGCAGGAGGAGGCAGGCAGCAGAGCTGAGTAAGGATGTGCATTGAACTGGAGTCCAACCTCCAGCCTCAGAGCCACTGGAAGCTCTGGAATGTGGATCCCACTCTGTGGCAAGGACACAGTCTTTGGCAGCTCTTTGAGAGCAAGTCAGTCAGAGGCTGCCGGCCAGCCCTATGGTGAGGGAATAACCACCCCTGGCATTTCCAGGTGCCCTGTGGCTGAGGGCACTTTGCAGCTGGGGGATGAATGCACTTGCTTAGTGTATTAGTTTCCTAAGGCTGTCCTAACAAATTACTGCAAGCTTGGTGGTTTAAAACAGATGTTAATTATCTCCCCATTCTGGAGGCCAAGTCTAAAAGCAAGGTGTTGGCAGGTCCGTGCTCCCTCCAAAGGCCCTAGGGGTGAATCTTCCCTTGCCTCTCTTAGCTTCTGGATTCTGTTGGCAGTCCCTGTGGCGGCATCACTCCAATCCCTGCCTTCATCTTCACAGTGCCTCTTCCTCTTCTGTCTAATCTCCCTCTATCCTATTGTTATAAGGACTTCATCACTAAATTTAGGGCCCACTCAGATAATCCAAATTGATTTCATCTCCAGATCCTGCAAAGACCCTTTTTCCAAATAAAGTCAGTTTCACAGGTTCTGGGATGTAGACATAACTTTTGGGGGGGCCACCATTCAACTCACTACCCCCAGTAAAGGGGGTTGGGGTGAGGCAACAATGACGTCCCCTATACAAGTAATCCTTAAGCCACCATATCACTCAAAACAAGCTCTGTGGACTCTGCTGTCCCCTTAACTGCTGGAGAGACTCATGAGCACACATACATGAAGCACTGTTCCCTTTAGGCATGCGAAGCTGGCCTGTCCACCCTCTGCAAAAACAGGACGCGCAGGGCCCTGTCGGCTGTGCAGCAGCTCTGCTGGTAGAAAGCATTCGCTTTCTTCTCCACCAGACTTCTTATATACCATCCTATCAGTCAGTGCTCCAATCATAAAGCCCATCTCATTTCCCTCCTACCAGCCTTGCTGGGTTTTTTGTTTGTTTGTTTGTTTTAGATGGAGTCTCGCTCCATCACCAGGCTGGAGTGCAGTGGCGCAATCTCGGCTCACTGCAACCTCCACCTCCAGGGTTCAAGCAATTCTCCTGCCTCAGCCTCCCGAGTAGCTGGGATTACAGGTATGTGCCACCATGCTTAGCTAATTTGTGTATTTTTAGTAGAGACGGGGTTTCACCATGTTGGTCAGGCTGGTCTCAATCTCGTGACCTCGTGATCCGCCCGCCTCAGCCTCCCAAAGCGCTGGGATTACAGGCATGAGCCACTGTGCCCAGCCCAGCTTTGCTGTTTGATGACACTGTAAGTTAGCATAATGTGCTGTGACAAAGAATCCCCAAATGTGGTGGCTTAAATATTTGTTTAGTTCTCTCAAAACAGTCCAGGGCATCAGTCCAGGGTGGCTCTTCTCCATAAAGTCATCCAGGACCAAGCAGTCTTTTCCTCAGCTCTCCCCTAAGGTGACACCCTCATCTGTATAGCCCAAACAGGCTCAGAGATACCAAAAGGGGATAGAAGAAATAGGGCATGCAGCTTACTTATAAAGACATAACCTAAAGGTCCCACCTTACCTCTGCTCATGCCATTAGCCACACCCTGCTGCAAGGGAGGCTGGGAAAGATAGCGTCTAAATGGGCATCCCTCAACCTAGGTAAGACTCAGAGGGTTCTATCATGAAAAGAAAGGAAGGAAGCTAGATAACGGGGACAGCCAGCATTCTCTGCTGCGGACATCTGTCTGGCCACTTCTACTGTCCTTCTTCCTACGAACAAACCAAGTTTTTCTCTGTCCGTGGGTACCAGATGCCTCTCTCTCTTAAGCAAACCCCTGTAATCTATGGTATTCCTTTTAGAACAGGGAACTGGCACAGAATCCAGGCCTCCATCTGCCTGTGACTTGATGGGCCTTGTGCTTCTGGGATGTGAACGTGAATTCTTAGGAATAGAGCTAAAGCCAGGAGTACCTCACCTTTCACTTGCCACTTCACATTGTGTGTGCAGAGCTTCAACACACAGAATGTGAGTTTCTTTATCAGTTGCATGCTAGGTTGGGCCCCAGTCAAACTTAATAGTTCTATGCATTCTTGCTAGTAGGGTATTGAAGTTGCCAGTTATTATTGTTTGTTCCTTCAATTCTGTTAGTTTTTGCTTCATGCATTTTGGAGCTGTTATTAGATACATGTGCTTTTTTTTTTTTTCTTTTGAGACAGGGTCTCACTCCAGTTGACCAGGCTAGAGTGCAGTGATGCAGTCTCAACTCACTACAGCCTTAGGGCTCACTACAGCCTCAACCTCCCAAGCTCAGCTGATTCTGCCACCTCAGCCCCCTGAGTAGCTGGGACTACAGGTGCATGCCACCACACCCAGTTAATTTTTTGTATTTTTAGTTGAGACGGGGTTTCACCATGTTGCCTGGGCTGGTCTTGAGCTCCTGGATTCAAGCAATCTGCCTGCCTCAGCCTCCCAACATGCGGGGGTTATGGGCATGAGCCACCACACCCGGACTGTTATTAGATACACATGCTTATAATTGTTATTTCTTTCTGATGATAGACACTTTTATCATTATAACATGTCCTTCTTTGTCTCTCATAATTTTTATCTTAGTGTCTATTCATAAATTAGTATAGCCACTCCAGCTATCTTTCAGTTAGGGTTCACATGTTATCTCTTTTTCCATCCCTTTATTTTCAAAGCCTTTTGTACATTTGAATTTAAAGTATGTCTCACATAGACAGCATATAGTTGGATTGTGTTGTAGTTTTCTTTTTTAATCCATTCTGCCAATCTCTTCCTTTTAATGAAGCATTTCATCCATTTATATTTAATGTAATTGCTGATAGAACAGGATTTATGTCTGCCATTGTGCTTTGTGTTTTCTTTTTCTTTTATTTTTTCTTTTTCTTATTTTTTTTTGAGACGGAATTATAAAGAGTTCCCATATATCCCCTATCCCCACAAATGTGCAGTTGTCTTTTAAATTAGATAGGAAAACAAAATCATTACAAACAAAAATACATTTATGCTGTCTTTTATGTTTACCTATGTAGTGACTTTTACCAGTGCTCTTTATCTGTTCATGTTAATTCATATTACTGTCTTGTCTTGTTTCATTTCAGACTGAAGGACTCCCTTTAGTATTTCTTGTAGGACAAACCTGTTAGTGATGAATCCTCTCAGTTTTTGTTTATCTGAAAATGTCTCAATTTCTCCTTCATTTTTGAAGTTGATCATTTTAGAAGTTGATAGTTTTGCTGGACATGCAATTTTTTGGTCGATAGTTGTTTTCTTTTAACACAATATATCATCTCACTGCCTTCTGTCCTTCATGGTTTCAGAAGTTATGTGGTGATCTTATTAAGGATTCCTTATATATGACGAGTTACTTCTCTCTCTCTCTCATTGCTTCTCAGATCCTTTCTTTTTCTTTGGCTTTCAAAAGTTTGAGTATGATGTGTCTTTGTATAGATCATACACTTTGTGTTCATACTACTTGGAGTTTACTGAGCTTCTTAAGATGTGCTCAATAATGTTTTTCATTACTGAGCACATTTAGGAAATTTAGGGGCATTTTCTTGAATATTTTTCTGTCCTGTTCCATCTCTACTCTCCTTCTCAGATTCCCATTATACATATACTGGTATGCTTGATGGCTCCCACAGGTCTCTTAAGCTCTGTTCATTTTTCTTCATTCTTTTTTCTTTCTGCTTCTGAGCTAGATAATCTCAATTGGCCTATATTCAAGTATACTGATTTTTTTTCGTCCCACCAAATGAGATATGTTGTTGAGTTCCTCTAGGTCAGGGGTGTCCAATCTTTTGGCTTCCGTGGGCCATATTGGAAGAAGACTTGTCTTGAGCCACACATAAAATACATTAATACTAGCGATAGCTGATGAGAAAAAAAAAAAAAAAGCAAAAACATCTCATAATAAGAAAGTTTACAAATTTGCAGGCTAATTCAAAGCCAACCTGGGCTGCATGTGCCCCGTGGGTCGCAGGTTAGAGAAGCTTGTTCCAGGTATTTTTAAATTTTACTTATTGTTCTTTTCTACTTCAGAATTTCATGGGTTTTTAAAAATATAATTTGAAATCCTTTATTGATTTTTTTGGTGTGACTTCATTCTCATACTTTTCTTGAATTTTTTAGACATAGTTTCCTTTAGTTCTATGAACATATTTATAATTGCTCATTTAAAGTCTTTATCTATGCCAGCTGCAGTGGCTCACTCCTATAATCCCAGCATTTTGGTAGGCAGAGAAGGGCAGATTGCTTGAGCCTAGGAGTTTGAGACCAGCCTGGGCAACATGGTGAAACCCTGTCTCTACAAAAACCTACAAAAATTAGCTGGGCATGGTGGCTCATACCTGTAGTCCCAGCTACTTGGGAACTAAGGTGGGAGGATCACTTGAACCTGGGAGGTCAAGGCTTCAGTGAGCCATGATCACACCACTGCACTTCAGCCTGGGCAACAGAGCAAGACCCTGTTCCAAAAATAAATTAATTAATAAAGTATTTGTCTAAAAATTCTAACCTCTGGGCTTCCTCAGGGATAGTTCCTGTTGGCTGCTTTATTACAATGTATGGGTCTTACTTTCCTGTACCTTGCATGTCTCATAATTGTTTGTTGAAAACTGGACATTTTAATCATATAATGTTGCACTCTGGCAATCAGATCCTCCCTCCCAATTTTGTTCTTATTGCTATTGCTGTTTGTTTGTTTAGTGATTTTCTTGGACTAATTATATAAAGTCTATATTTCCTGTCATGTATAATCACTGAAGTTTCTGCTCTTGGCTTAGTTATCAGGCCATGATTGGACAGGCATTTCTTTAAATGCCTTGAATGCCAATAAGTGTTCAACCCATTGCCAAAAGGTTCTGTATGTGTGTTAAGACATGCCTTCAGTGCTCCAGCGATTTACAACTCTGCCTTGACCTTCACTTCCTGCTTGCTCAGGGCCTTGGGATAAACCAGAGGTGAGAGACCAGGGGCTTTCCATGCCTTTTTTGGGCATGTGCCTCTCCCTGCACATATGCATAGCTTTCTAGATCTCCAGGAATATGTCAGAGCTTTTCAGAGCCCCTGTGAACATCTTATTCCCCACTTTTTCCTTTAAAATATTATGGCCAAACTTTTATTTGCCCCCAACTTGTATTGCTGCCTCATGTAGCTGCAATGTTAAGCAATTGCCGCTGGCTGTTTTCAACAAACACCCTGAAGATAGGGTCTTTCCCACTAAGTAAGTTCTGAATCGGGTCAAATAACAAGTTCTGCAAATAAAGCTGTCAGGGAGTTGCTAGAAAGGTTAAAGAGTGAAAACTGACTGGGAATACAGCTTGTTGAGAGGCTCCAAACCCACTCTACCCCTTCCTATGGTTGCTAGCTTGCTAGTTTTCACAACTACAATAGTGGTTGCAAGGTAGCTGGTCTTCAACAGGGCTGGGGAGTAGGGGATGGGAATAGGGCAAATTAAAACACCACAAAGCTTTCTGTTCTTATTACAACTCAGCCATTTTTCTTGCCTCAATGTTCCTTGAGTTGTTGCACACATGTTGTTAATTTTTAGAGTTCTGAGAAAGTTGATTTTGACCATGTTTGCCAGTGTTCTTGTTTCTTTATGGAAGAATGGATTTTCAGAGGTCTTTACTTAGCAATTCCCAAAGTCCTGTCCCTGTAATTGTTATTTCTTACCTGGGCACAAGTTAAAAGTGCCTTGGGGGCTTTAGTCCAGCATTCATCCAGTCACAGTAATTTTTGACTCTTGAATTCTATCATGAATCAATCAGCACCTGTTGTGGGGCTGGGACTATGATGGATGCTTGGGAGAAGAGAGGCTTAAACAATGATCCCTGCCCTCTGAGAGCTTACAGAGCAGTTGAGGAGACAAATATAATTATGTAAACAACAATTTATAATTTTGAAAAAAATTCGTGTACTTGAAGAAAGGTCAGTAGAGATTATCTATAATTACATAATAATAAGAAGAAATAGAAAACAATGTAAGGCTTGAAGACCACACTATCCAATAGTACTTTCTGCAATGATGAAAATATTCTGTACCAACCAATATGGTAGCCAATAGCCACACATATTTATTGGGCACTTGAACTGTAGCTACCGTGACTGAGGAATTGAATATTTAATTGTGTTTAATTTAAATCAAATTTAAGAAATAACACATGGTTACTGTATCTGACATCACAGCTCTAAGACTTTAAATATTTGCTTGATTGGCCAGGATGACCCTGTGGCAGGGGTAGGGAAACATACCCTCCCATGGGAGGCTCATAGCTCTTCTCTGGCTCCTAGGGATAGATAGAAGCTGGGGGCTATGGATACTCCCTGGCATTTAATTGTGCCTGCTGCCTGGTGGGTGTTGTTCAGTGACACTATTGGAATAGTTTAGGTCCGAGCCACCTGGCAAAGGTAAGCTCTGGTCTACTCTATTGGGGGCAAATTTAGACCCTAGATCAGGCACATTATAAGTGCAATTAGATGAAAGGGGCTGTGGGAACTGCAAAAGAATCAGCCCCCTTCCTAATCCACTGGTCAATGCAACATTCCCTGTTTTCCTCTACAGCCACAAAACTAGCCCAATGTCATCCATCTCCTTCCACGCTTTCCAGCAGGATCTCCCACACTCATGCTGCAAGCACAGACTTCTGTCCAGATCCATTCTGGCAATCCCCCTTGAGGTTCCAGAACCTCCCTGCTGGGTCAGTGCTGAGGTGAGACTAAGGTTTCCCTCTTGCCACCTGAATGCACTGCACTTCCTTCCCCATTCCCCCCAACCCCCACCACTCTTTTCAGAGCTGAGAGCATTTGAGAGAGGGAGAAGCAGAGGGGGTTCAAGAGAGATTCGCTCATGTGCTCCGAAGGTCATATAGGCTGAGATGCCAGTCATAAGGACAAAGGACCCCTAATGAAGAGGAAGGACTTATGAGGAGACCTCTGGGCAGCCGAAGCCAAGCTTAGGGCCAGACTGGCCTCCATGCTGAGACAGGAGCAGAGATTTGGACAGTGCCTCCATAGAAAATTGGGGGAAGAGGACCGGGCGCGGTGGCTCACGCTTGTAATCCCAGCACTTTGGGAGGCCAAGGTGGGCAGATCACAAGGTCAGGAGATGGAGACCATCCTGGCTAACACGGTGAAACCCCGTCTCTACTAAAAATACCAAAAAATTAGCCGGGCGTGGTGGCGGGCGCCTGTAGTCCCAGCTACTCGGGAGGCTGAGGCAGGAGAATGGCGTGAACCCGGGAGGCGGAGCTTGCAGTGAGCCGAGATCGCGCCACTGCACTCCAGCTTGGGTAACAGGAGCGAAACTCCGTCTCAAAAAAAAAAAAAAAGAAAAGAAAAGAAGATTGGGGGAAGAGGGGGACCGCAGGCATGAGGCAGCCTGGGAACCATAATAGGTGGAGTGGAGGCGGCTAGTGAGTGAACCGCCTGCAACTTGAATAATAAGCTTTCTCCACAAAGTGGAGAGTTATTGAGGGCTGGGGACTCAAGCCAACCTGGGATGTCTGGCTATGTAACTGGGAGCAAGTTCTCACCTCCCAGAGCTTCAGTTCCCTAATGTGTAAAATAGAGCTGACCAATGAGCCTCCTGTGATTCTGGGAAGGAGAGGATGCTGTGGAGTTAGTAGGATGTATTCATGCAGTGCCCAGCACAGTGACTGCCTCAGAGTCATTTCTTACCCTCCTGCCACCCCACCCTTACCGATCATCTTAGAGTAAGTGCAGCTGAGCCTGGACGGCAGCAAGAAAGTTCAGGCCGGGCGCAGTGGCTCACACCTGTAATCCCAGCACTTTGGGAGGCCGAGGTGGGCGGATCACTTAAGGTCGGGACTTTGAGACCAGCCTGGCCAACATGGTGAAACCCCGTCTCTACTAAAAATGTGAAAAAAAAAAAAAAAATGGCACCTGTAGTCCCAGCTACTCAGGAGGCTGAGGCAGGAGAATCACTTGAACCCAGGAGGCAGAGGTTGCAGTGAGCCGAGATCGCGCCATTGCACTCCAGCCTGGGCAACAGAGCGAGACTCCATTTCAAAAAAAAAAAAAAAAGTTCAGTGGGAACCAAGGAGGAACGTCCTGCCTCCAGAACCAGAGCCCACAGTCAGGGGTAGACATCCCAGGCTGGGGATGGGTCTTTCTCTGAATAGGAAGGGGGACATTCTCACTTAATCTTCTGTCTGTTCTCTCTGCCCTGGGTGCTTGGTGAATTGTAGAAGATGCCAGGCCTTGCTAATACCCGCTACCCACCTCTCACCTGATTCATAGATAAGAGGTGCCAAGGTCTCTGGTCTTAGAGCCTGGGTCTCATCTACACCACCACCTCTGCCCAAGGCCAGAGGAACCCACAACTTCTTTCCTTCAGACTCCCACCTTCTCCTTTAAATCTCTTTCTGACTTGCAAGCACCCCTTCCAGCTCTGTGGCTTCTGCTGCCGTCCATGCCCCATCCCCCCTCCTCCCTCCTTTTTCTCTATCTCTCCTTCTCTTCTGTTCGTGGACTCTGATAGCCTGCATTGACAGAAGACTCCCCAGGCTTGAGAGGACTTGTGTGGGTGCATGTGTACATCTGTGTCCACACAGGCACACCATGGTGACCATGCACCAGCCCCTTCCTGCCGCTGCATGTGGCATGCCCAGAGGCCTCCCATTAGTGGCCACTCCACCCTTCCTCCTCTCCCCTCAGGCCTGGTTTGGGGAAAGTGGAGCCACTGCCACTCTTGGTGGGCAGCTGGGGGCCCCTTAGCAGTCTCTCCACACCCCCTCCCCTTCTCCTCAGGCCCCATGCCCAGCCCTGAGGTTTGGAGAGCCTAGTAAGTGCCCTATCAACATGTTAATCAAATTACTTAGGAGCTAAAATTGACGCTGTTCATTAATTATACAAGATTATGCTAATTGTGCATGCAAATGCATGCAGGGGAACAGAAGGTGTTCAGGCGCATGGTGGGCCATTAGCATAGAGGATGGGGTGCGGGTGCATTGGCATGCTAATGTATGCGCCCTGGCTATTTATAGTCCTCCAGCCCATCTGCACTGCAGCCACCTCTACCCGGGTGGGGATCATGGTGGGGAGGCCAGGTCCAGGCCTGGCAGGTGGCTGTGGCCCTGGGGACAGTCTATCTTGGCTTCTACCGCAGGCTAAGACCAGGAAGCAGCCTGGGCCAACCCCACATGGGCCTGAACTATTACAGTAAGCTCCTCATTTCCCTTCCCTTCTCTAGCGTAGGCCCTTTGGTGCCTGTTTCTGCCTGAAGGGAGACATCCCCTGTAGCCTTCCCATCACCCAGAGGATCCAAGTCCCGCATGATTTGGTCCCAACCCCAGGCCCCAAGCCACGCTGCCCTCCTCAGTCTTGTCAGGCACCACTGATCGAGTGAGCCGTCTGCCCCGTGGTGGAGCTGTTAGTCCCTTTGCATGGAGGGCCCTGCCTCCTACTTCTCGGTGAGATCCTCCAAGACCCATCACCCAAGACCAAATTGGAGCTCTAGGAAGCATTCCGCCTCCCCTAGGCAAAATAAGTGGCCACTGCAGATTACACTTGGCACATCCTCCTGCCGTGCCCACCACTCTGTCTTCCTGAGTTTCTCTTTCCTGTTGGGTTGTAATTTCCTTAAGATTTTATACAATGCCGCAGTGCCTAACACATAGAAGGTATTTAATAAATCTTTTTAAGTGGGTGTATGGAATGAATGAGGGGATGAATGGCCCAGCCCTCTGTGTCCTCCTCTGTCCCTGAGCTGAGGGTAGAGAGAAGCAGACAGTGAACACGCTGGAGAGCCAGAAACTGCTTCAGTTTCTTCGGAGGCTCATGGGAGCCCAAGACAAATCTTTTAGGATAAAAATTAGCGGAGATCCCTGTCCCCTTATTTCCCCATCTCAGGCTGCAGTGCCAGCTTTGGGCTTGGAAACACATATCCAATTTAATCTACCCTTCACTCTTAACCTGCTGTCTTTCCCAAGGCCTTCACAGGACACACTGTTGTTTGGAACATCCTGCCCCAGCTCGTATATCCATTCACTGCATACCTTCTTTCTAGATCTGCACTGTCCAATATGGTAGTCTCGAGCCACATGTGACTATTTAGATTTATGTTCATTAAAATGGCTGGGCGCAGTGGCCCACGCCTGTAATTCCAGCACTTTGGGAGGCCAAGGCGGGTGGATCACCAGAGGTCAGGAGTTCATGACCAGCCTGACCAATATGGTGAAACGCTGTCTCTACTAAAAATACAAAAATTAGCTGGGCATGGTGGCAGTCGCCTTTAGTCCCAGCTACTCAGGAGGCTGAGGCGGGAGAATCGCTTGAACCCAGGAGGTGGAGGTTGCAGTGAGCCGAGATCACGCCACTGCACTCCAGCCTGGGCAACAGAGCGAGACTCCGTTTCAAAAAAAAAATAGATTTATGTTAATTAAAATGAAATAAAATTCAGTTCCTCAGTTGCACTAGCCACATTTCCAGTGCTTAGTAGCCATGCGTGGCTAATGCATATCATTCTGGAAAAAGTTCCCTTAGGGAGCACTGTAATCTAGACACGTTCTTCCTTGCCCCTGACAGACCTGTAGTGGAAAATGCACTCGGGCTCTCCTTCCAGCTCTTTGAGTTACTGACAGCTTTCTCTTTGGAAGTGAGAACATAATTTCAGCCCTAAGTATCTCATGGGGATGCAGGGAAGAAAAAGCTGGTGAAAAGCCTTAGCTCTGTGACCTAAGTTTTCTTAGGGTGGGATTCCTGGAAGCAGAGCCTGAGATGGGGATTCTTGTGAAAGAGGTTTATCAAAGGAGAGCTCTCAGGAGAAAAGGAATGAGTATAGAGGGAGTTTAACAAGGAGGTGGTCTCGGTCGGAGTCTAGCGTCAGCCTATCCCATGCAGAGGTCTGGAGTGTGAATGGCCAGAGAGTTGGTCCTCCTTGTAATGTCAATCTGTCATTGGCTGTGGGCTACTGGTGGGGAGTATATGCTCTTGGCTGAGGGTAATTCTCAGATTACCTTGGGGCAGCTGCGAGCCATTTGACAGTCTACACTGCAGCTGGGGCATGAGGGAATCAGGCAGGCATCAACTCACTGTAAAGTTCCTGGACGTTGTCTTCCAAAAGAAGCTCCAGGCCAGGCATGGTGGCTCATGCCTGTAATCTCAGCATTTTGGGAGGCTGAATCAGAAGGATCGCCTGAGCCCAGGAGTTTGAGACCAGCCTGGGCAACGTACTGAGACCTCCGTCTCTACAAAAAATAAACAAAATTAGCTGAGCATGGTAGTGTGACCTGTAGTCCCACCTGCTCAGGAGGCTGAGGTGAGAGGATCACTTAAGCCTGGGAGGTCAAGGCTGCAGTGAGCCAAGATCACACCACTGCACTCCAGTCTGGGTGACAGAGCGAGACCCTGACTGAAAAAAAAAAGCAGCTCCATCCCACTCTGCCTTCTACCCCCTGAAAACCTAGAATTTAACAGTGGACTCACATCAATTGCCTTCACACTTGCCTTCTCTACTGAGTGTCTCTTTTGAGTAAAGCACTGTGCTTGGGGAGTTAATGCAATGGTGTCACCCCTGAGAAGTAGTGTATAAGTTAAATGTTTGCACTTTAGCCATACTCAACCCAGAGTTTGCTTCTTTGGTAGGAAATACTCCATGGACAAGACGTTTCTTTTCATTTCATCTTGAGCTGTTTTTATGGGGAGGAATAAAAAGCGTTTATAGACATGATTACGAAGGCTAAACCAAGTTCAGGATGTGGTAAGGTGGGTGTGTGGGTGAACTACTCTGAGCTTTCCTTTAAGTCACAGGCATCAGAGTCATGATGCATAACTACCATCCTTTAGATACTTCATTAGTTGGATGACCACTGTTCACAGCTCTTCTTCTGGTCTTTCATTAAAGTTTTTATTGAGAATGTGGAATACAGGCAGAATGGAATAATGAAGCCCATATAGCCCCAATGAGCTAGAACAATTTTTAACTATTGGTTCCATTGTTTTTTAATACTGAAGATCTTCTCGACTGATAGCAGCAGTCACAACAGCCAAAAGCCCAAAACTAGGAGCAAGAGGACCTGAGTTTGACCTCTGCAACCCTGTTGAATTTGTAACCTCGAGGAAATCCCCACAACATACTATCCTGGTCCCCACACAGCCTGCCTCTCAGAGCTGCTTTTGAAGGCAGGCTTGCCGCTGCAGTACCAGCCTGGGTCGGACTCTGAGAGCCCCACTTAGAAGGACTTCTAGGACTCTTGTCGGCATCAGTGGTTCATAAAGACCCGTTTTCATATCCTTACTTTAGCATTGACTGTGACTTTGTCAAGTCACAGTCAATAGCTTAGCCTTGGTTTTCTCATCCGTAAAGTGGGAATGGTTGCAGACCGACACGACCTGGGGGATTGAGCAAGATAATGCCAAAGTGACAAACTCAGCAGCGTTCTGGGCAGTTGCTAAGGTGCTGAGTGCCTGATGGGTTAGACCTGGTTCCCTGTTTTTCTTTTTTTGTTGTTTGTTTGTTTGTTTTGTTTTTGCATAGTTACCTCCCTAATGCATTTCATTTGTAAGTCATGCTTGTATTTATGGTGTTTTCTTCCAGTAATCCTAATGGAAGCTTCTGCGACTTGGCCTTTCCCTTACTCCCTTTTCTGTGGGGTCTGGATTAGGAAGCCATGCCCTCCAAGAGCCTCATGGCCACAGTGGGATGGCACTGGGCACTGGTCCTGCAGTGGTCACCCTCCATGGGGATCCTCAGGTCAGAGAGGGCTGTGGACTTGGGCTCACTTTACTCCTCCCCACTCCCTGCCCCCTGCCCCCATCCTGGTCAGGAAAAACGGGCTTTCCTAGACTCCTTTTCAGCCCCATAGGGCCAGGAGTGGGGAGGGGTGCTCAGAGAACACCCCCAGGCTCATCCAAGCTTTAGAGGTGGGGGGTGGTTCCATGCTGACAAGCAGGGCTTCAAGCCCCTCAACAAAGTGCACATCCCTTCCTGCCTCAAGTCCCTACAGGGTGTCCCAGGCCCAGAACCTTGTCCTCACTTACCCAGCCCCTTCCCAGGCTCTCTTCTTTCAAGGGGAACACCTGCCCGCAGTTCCCATGTCCACATGTGTTCCATGTGTGTGTCTCCCTCCAACTCCCCTGCCCACCAGGTCTCTCACTCTCCCCCAGTCCCCAGCCCCCACATCTGGCCTCTGTGCAGACATGGCTTGGAGGACCTGCTGCCCCTCCTTCTTCTTCCCTGACTCCATTCTCATCCTTCCCTGACTGCTCAGGTGGAATAAAGTGTCACCCCCTGGGCGTCAGCCAAGGGAGAATTCTCCTGGGTTGTTCTCACGTTCGCCCTTCCAGCCTCTGCGGTGTGTCTGTCTCCCCCTGGTGGGCAAGGAGAGGACCAGGCAGCGGCACCCGGAGGGTCGGCAGTCTCTCTAGGTCCAGGGGAGAGCCCGGGCACTGCTCCTGGTTCTAGACCCCAACGGAAGTCCTCTAATTCCAGGTCCAGCCTTGGAAGGCAGGAGCCTTTAGGGGCGGGTCACCTTTGCCAAAGCACAGTCTTCAAAATGTCAAAAGCGTGATTCTCATACAAATTGCTACTGAGCATGTATCAAAGTTTTCTATAACTTATTGATGAGGGAACCAATGGGATGACAAAGCTGATTCAAAGAAGACGAAGAGAAAGTGATACATGTGCGAGTGTGTGAGTGCGTGCGTATATGGAAAGGGGTTGAGGGGAGGGAGGGAGAGGCAAGGGATTGTGTGGAAAATACTGGAATAAGATGGCCAAATTAGATATAAAGCTAGTTAATGTCCATAGGACAATTTTATCATCTTTAGGGCTAATTTCTCCACCAAACAGAAATTATTTACTTCTCCTGACAAATATCATTTGTTTCCAAGTCATATGAATTTGGGGGCGGGGAGTATAAATTCACAGGGTACAAGTGAAAGTATACAATGTGTGGTGATCCAATCCAGATATTTAGGGTGTCCATCACACAGGTACAATACATTTTGGCTAAGTATAGTCACCCCACTCTGCTATCAAACATCAAGTTTATTCCTTCTATCTTGCTATTTGTACCCTATAACCCACTTCTCTTCTCCCTGCCCCCCAACTCACCCTTCCCAGTCTTTATTATCTGTCTTTCCATGCTCTACCTCCAGGTCATCAAAGTTTTTATTTATTTTTTTTATTTTTTTTTTTTTGAGACGAAGTCTCACTCTTGTCCCCCAGGCTGGAGTGCAATGGCGTGATCTCAGCTCACTGCAACCTCCGCCTCCCGGGTTCAAGTGATTCTCCTGCCTCAGCCTCCCGAGTAGCTGGGATTACAGGCGCCTGCCACCACGCCCGGCTAATTTTTATATCAGGTCATCAAAATTTTTAGCTCCCACTGACAAATATCATTTGTATCTTATCAGTTTTCTACAAATTAGCACTTAACTTTATAGTCTGTGCTCCAATCAATCAATAGTAAATGCGAGTCACTTTCCCCTAGAGACATACACTCCAGTGAAGCATTGTCCGATATTAATATAATGCAAGCAAGCCACATATGTATGTAAATATGCTTTTTTCTTTTCTTTTTTCTTTTTTTCTTTTCTTTTTTTTTTTTTTTTTGAGACAGGGTCTCACTCTGTCACCCAGGCTGGAGTGTAGTGGCTCAACCTTGGCTCACTGCAACCTCCACCTCCCCCGTTCAAGCAATTCTCGTGCCTCAGCCACCTGAGTAGCTGGGACTACAGGCATGCACCACCTCACCCAGCTAATTTCTATATTTTTAATAGAGATGGAGTTTCGCAGCATTGGGCAGGCTAGTCTCAAACTCCTGGCCTCAAGCGATCCACCCACCTCAGCCTCCCAAAATGCTGGGATTACAGGCACGAGCCACTGAGCAAGGCCTCAAGTCACATATGTAATGTTAAATTTTCCAGTAGCCACAAGAAACTGATACAACTAATTATCATAATGCATTTTATTTAACCCAATATATCTAAAAGATGAGCATTCCCACATGAAATCAACATAAAAGATTACTGATGAATTATTTTATATTCTTTTTTTCTAAGTCTTGGAAATCTGATGTGTGTTTTACACTTACAGCACATCTCAAGTTCGGACTAGCCACACTGCAAGGGTTCATGCCGCGTGGGGCTGGTGGCTATAGTAATGGGTAGCGCAGCTCCAGTGCGGTAGTTCTCAAACTTCAGGGTGAACCAGCATCACCTGGAGGGCGTATGAATGCAGAGATGTGATTCTGACTCAGCAGGTCTGAGGGGAGGCCTGAGATTCTACACTTGTAGCAAGGTCTCAGGTGACGCTGACGCTGCTGGTCTTAGGGGGTGGTGCAGGCTCTCTGACTGGGAGAAGCCTCGTGGACTACCAGCTGGAAGGGAGTGAGGTTTCAGCCACACCATGGATGGTTTCGACTATGTGCTAGCTCTGAGGACAGGCCCAAAGGGAAGGGAGAAGGGGACTGACCCTCAGCCCCCACTGCAGGCCATGGTCTTGTGCAGCTGCTTTTACTCACCCACACTCTGCAGGTAATGCTAGCCAGGCTCAAACACTGAGGTGTCCCCATAGACAGAGGTGCTGGCAGGTCCCTAGGGCTCTCAGAAAGGGGTGGTCCTTGAAACCTAGAGTGGCCAGAAAATGGTGGCTGTACAGGGCGTGAGAATTGGTGTGGACCCAAAGGACAAATGAAACCTGTACTGTAAAGGGACAGTGGCAAGACCTGCTGAGCAAAGGCTTGGGGAAGGGCCAGTGAGGGAGCAGGAAACCACAGCCTTGGGGAGGGCAGAAGTAAAGGATGTCCCAGAGGCAGGACTAGAAGGTGTCACGGCAGCCGTCAATCGCTACTCTCCCTTCATGGGTGTGGAAGGATTTACCTACCCCGGGTCATGCAGAGAGTCCAGGCCTGGCCAGAGCCCCTATCTTGGCCCCTTCCCAAGGACCCTTCCTCTTGATCCTGTAGGTTTGAGTGGAGTGGGGTGCAGTGGGCACATGTGTCATCTTTTGGTGCAGTCCTATGCTTGTCGCATCTTCAGTGGTATCCAAAGGTGAGCCTTCAATCCCTTTAGGACAGAGACCATGCCCCATCCTGGTGTTTTTCCCTCCATCTAGCACCTGCCAAAGGACCGAGCACACGAGTACTTAATTTAAATGAGCTGGTCTGCCTGTGTGTGTGAGTAGGGAGTCTATACTCTGTCACATGTGAATGTGGGGCATGGATGAGGAACATGTCGCACATGTGGGTGTAGTGTGTTTACACCATGGGGTGTCATAAGGGGTGTAGGGAGTGATTAGTAACTAATAAGAGAGAAATGGAGTGCGCCCACTGTGCAGGTGTACCTCTCAGGAGCACTGAAGGTGTCTGCACCTTGGGGTGACCCATAGGGATATATATGGCATCTACACATTGGTGACTACTGTTTGGGGGCATAACAGCTGTCTGCACTGCAGGGTATCCTGCAGGGGTAAATGGATTGTCTACACTGTAGGGGTGCACCATTTGGGAAATATAGGGGGTGCCCACTGTGGGGGAACATGACAAGTGCTGAGAATGTAGACAGAGGCAGGACCCCAGGGAGAGGTATCTCTAGGAAGGTGACTGCCACCAGCTCCCAAGGAGGGGCTGCCTGCTGGGGACACCTCAGTTCCAGGGCTGGTGCTTACTCCTCCCAGCACTTGGTGACCTCCTTTTTGGGGACTGGGCTTTCAGGACCTGTAACAAATTTTCCTCTGAACAGAAATTTAATGTTTGCAGACTTTGGAGGCAACTCTGGTGAATTAAATGAACATTCAAATTTGGGGTATATAAGTAGTACATGAGTAACTATACCGTGGTTAAAGTTCCACCCCAGGTTTGGGACTCTTGTATTTGCTTTAGTAAATAGTATGGTAAAAATATCTCCCAATTGGGTGGAGGTAAAATGAGGAAGCTGACTGACTGGAGAAACTCATACAGTGGCCCAGGAGGCTGTTCCACATATCAGGACCTACTGCAGACGTTAGCCCTGCACTCTACAGTTTGTAAAGGGTATCTTCCCAGATGCTCACAGAGTGCTATAAGGCATAAGGCAGACACTGATCATATTCCGAGTTTACCAAGAGTTAAACAGGGCTGGGTGCAGTGGCTCATGCCTGTAATCCCAACACTTTGGGAGGCCGAGGTGGGTGAATCACCTGAGGTCAGGAATCGAGACCAGCCTGGCCAACATGGCAAAACACCGTCTCTACTAAAACTACAAAAAGTAGCCAGGCGTGGTGGCAGGCCCCTGTGATCCCCCTGTAATCCCCTGTAACTCGGGAAGCCAAGGGCTGAGGCAGGGACAATTGCTTGAACCCAGGAGGTGGAGGTTGCAGTGAGACATGGCGAGCCTGGGCAACAGAGCAAGACTCTGTCTCAAAACAAAAAACAAAACAAACAAAAAAAAAAAAACAGGAAAAAAAAGAGTACAACAGCCAGAATGTTGTCCATGGCTACCTTACTGGTAGGTGACAGGACCAAGGACCCACCCTCCCAGCCAACTGCCAGGAAGGAGAGGAGGACAAAGTGCTCATGTGTTTGTCTAAAAAGCAACCTCATCAGCGCATATGTGTTTTTTTCCCAATAACTCTATGTAAAAAAGAAGACATTCACGGTGTCTCTGTACCACATGTCTGACAGATACACCATGTGTATATGGTGGGTATGTGCTCTGTATGATTAAGCTTTTCCTATGTGTATAATGGATATAAAATGTGTGGGAGGAGGATATGCCATGTGGGAGGTGAATTTGCTGGGGGCATCTGCTATATGGGATGGCTTTACAGTATTTGCAATAACTATATTTTGGGTAATCATTTACAACATAAAATGCGTATTAATGTATTTGTTCTGTGTATTTCCTATTTCTCTGTGCATATACTGTGTAGGGTGGGCATACACCGTGCATGATGGGTACAGGCTCTGTGTCTGCTTAGTATGCCATATGTGTGGGATGAGTGCAGGCTATATGTGGAGTACATGTTGTTTATGCTTGTGTGAAGGTTATACCCCGAGTGTGTGTGATGGCTGTATTTTGTGAGTAATAGTATCCAAGGCATAAACAGTGTCTACAAAGAATGTGCTGTGTCTGAGGAGTGTACATGGTGTGGGTGATGGGTATACTCTGGGGAGGGATGTGTTGTATAACAGATGTGCTATATGGGTGATGAGCATATACTGTGACGTATACACAGTGTGTGATAACATTACATGGGGTATGTGTGCGTACACGCCACATACGGAGCATATATTGTATGTGTGATGGGTATACAGTGCGTTGGGTATAATGAGTAATAAGTATAGGTAGTGTATATAATGGACTTACTCTTCATGGTGAATATATACTGTGTGGGAGTGCTAAGTATACACTTTGTGGCATAAATAAGCCCTGTGTGATCAGCACACGGTGTGTATGGTTGTATAGCGAAGTTGTCATTGTGATGGGTCTGTCTGGTGTGTATCAGGCACCCTGGTATATGGAGGCCATGATGGGAATATGGGATGTGTGCCTGAGTGGGAGCAGGCAGAGGGGACTCATCCTGTGGGGAGGGGGCATGGCAGGGAGCAGTTGGATCTTCATCTGTTTCCAGAACCCCCAGACCCTTGAGCCCACCGACCACACTGTTTCAGGTTCTTCCTCAAGTTCTTCCTCAAATGCAACCAGAACTGCCTGAAGAATGCGGGGAATCCCAGAGACATGCGCCGCTTCCAGGTGGGTCTGGAGAGAGGGTTTCCCCTTGCAACCCCACCCTTTCCTGATGGAGGGGAGGGGAGGGGGAAGGGAAGGCTGTGACCCTGCCACCCTGGGAAAGGCCTCCAAGGCAGATCTCTGCCCAGCCCTGTGCCTCCCCAGCCTGGTTGGTGCCTGCTGGGGGTGGGGCAGCTCCTTCTCAACTTGTGCTGGCTGCCAAGGGAGGCTTCATTAGAGTCCCACTTAAGAAGATGCTAATTGTGACATTTTTACATGATTAACGACCCAGGCAATTTGCATAGCGTGAAGCGGAGAGCAGCTGCCCTTAGCACATCCCCAAGCTGCACACCCCTCTCAGTGCAGGGCGGGGGAAGAAGGCAGCCCCAGTTTTCTCCCCAGAATAGGGCAGGGGCTCCTGCTGCTGAGTTCTCCGGCTGATGCTGCCCACCTCCACTTGCCTAAGACCCCATTCCTGGCTTGGAGGTCCGTGGATACAACCCAGCATTCTGTGTATGCAAAAACAGTAGCCATTCTTTGCCTAAGGAGCCAGTTTTTTCAGGGGTCTTTATTTTTGTAGCGCCTGGGGAGTCAGTTCATCTGGGGGTATCACCTGATCCAGCTGGCCCCCTTCCACCAGCTCAGACACTGCAGGATTGAAGCCCTCCTCCTCCCACCAGTGACCCTAAATTCCAGCATCCAACCACCAGCCTCAAGGTGCTGGTTCCCCACCACATTCCCCTCCCGGGAGCCCCCGAGGGCCCCAGCCAGGCTGGCCTCGGCTCTCCCCGCAGGTGGTGGTGTCCACGACGGTGAGCGTGGACGGACACGTGCTGGCCGTGTCCGACAACATGTTTGTGCACAACAACTCCAAGCATGGCCGCAGGGCGCGCCGCCTGGACCCCTCCGAAGGTCAGGACCCCCGGCCCAGCCCCGGCCGCCGCGGGCCCAGCCAGCCCCCCAGGCCCCACCTCAGCGCGGTCCCCTGACCTGGGTCCTCTCCTGCCTCCCAGCTGCCACCCCCTGCATCAAGGCCATCAGCCCCGGGGAGGGCTGGACCACGGGCGGCGCCACCGTCATTGTCATCGGCGACAACTTCTTCGACGGGTTGCAGGTCGTGTTCGGAAACGTGCTCGTGTGGAGCGAGGTGGGCCAACCCCGCCAGTCTCCCTCTGGGCCTAGGGGCTGGGCCCTCCCCTCGCCGGTGCGGGACCTGCAGGCCTCCCCTCTCCCCTCGCAGCTCATCACGCCCCACGCCATCCGGGTGCAGACGCCCCCGCGGCACATCCCCGGGGTGGTGGAGGTGACCCTCTCCTACAAGTCCAAGCAGTTTTGCAAGGGATGCCCCGGCCGCTTTGTCTACACAGGTAAGGAGTCGGGCGGGGGAGTGGAGGTCTAAGGTGCGCGGAGGGAGCCCCACCCTGCGCACTGGTCTCCGTTCTTGGTGATAGGAGTTAGCCGAGCTCTACGCTGTGGCCACGACCCCTAGACGGCCCCGGGCCCCTTTAACCACCTATGCCTGTGATCGCTCCGCTCGCAGGACCGTCTTTCCCTGGCTCTGTGTGTTTCCCTCCCTGGCCTCTGGCTCCTTAGTCCCTTCCCCGGGGCAAAGTCCCCCCCACAACCAACATTCTTACTCCCTCAGCCATCTCACCTCCTGAACATTGTGTCTCCCGCCCGCACTCTCCAGGGTTTAGAGCCTCTCCAAAGGGATGTTTATTCCAAAGATGCCAATGGGGTCGCTGCTCCCCGAATCTTCTCTGGGTCTCTTGGTTCCCCCACGCTACCCCAGGCCTCACTCTGCATGTACACGCACACACACGTGCGTACATACACACCCCTTGCACGACGCCAGGGCGAGCAGTGAACACACGTGGAGAGGCAGTGTAGAACCCCCCAGCCTGGCTCTATTTGGCCGCTGGCCGAGTCTTCTCCATTTCCATCCTCCCGCCCCGCCCCAGCTGAGCCACCCACTTCTCCTCTCCACCCCACCGCAGTCCCCACCATCGCGCAGCCCCCCGCACCGATGCTCATCGAGCCCTTCGAGGGACACTCGGTAGTGACCCTACTTAGCCTCCCCGGAGCTCCAGTCTAACGCGGAAAGGCTGAGCAGAGAACCGCATGGGGTGGGTGGGGTCACGCGGTCAAGGGGCTGACAATCAAGGAAAACCTTTGGTAGGGAGTGCCTGCTGAGCCCGGCTCAACCGAAACCCGAGGGCTGAGTGGGGAGGTTGACCTGGGGAAGGAAGGGTGGTTGCAGAAGGAATGATAAGGACCGATCCCCAGAAGTGAGTGCTTTCTCTTTGCCGGGAAACTAAAGGAAATCCACTAAGTCAGGATCAGAGGTGAAGGTAGGGCTCTGAGACTGGTGGATTAGGTCGGGGCCAGGCTATCTGAAAAGGGCGGTGCGGGGATCAGGAAAAGGGGAAGGAGGAGGAGAAGGGCGTGGGGAGCTGGGTCAGACGCGCATACACACACACACCCCTTGCACAACGCCAGGGTAAGCAGTGAACACAACACACGTGGAGATGCAATGTAGAATCTGGCCGCTGGCCGGATCTTCTCTACTTCCATCCTCCCGCCCCAGCCCAAGCCACCCACTTCTCCAGTTGCTTCCCTGGGGTGCATGCAAACCTCTAGCCTTCAGATGCTGCAGAGAGTCCACTTGAGCCGTGATAAATGGAGATTGTTAAGTTTTTTCTTTTTTATAATAAACTCCTGATTTGACCAGATGAAAAGAGAAAACTCTCCATCGAGTCCTGCCCTTAGGACTATAACTCATATGTGTATACGGTTTCCCTTTTTTCTAATCACAAATGGGTGCATGTGTGTTCATACCAAGCGCCTAGGGCCGAGGACAGAGGCTGGCTCAGTAAATATTTGTTGAGTAAACAAACGAAAGAACTGAAACTTCCCTGAATCTCGCTGCCGGGGGTGCCTGGAGTTTTCCGGGGGACTTGGGCTGGGCCTGGTGGAGGGGGCTGCAGCGAGGCTCTCGGACTGGGCGCTGGCCTGCTTTTGGCGCCCTGCGTCTCACCCTGGGAGTGGGGGGCTGCGGGGGAGACGTCCTCCAAACGCCGCCCCCTTCCCCAGCTCTGAACGAGCCCACCATTGACTACGGATTCCAGAGGCTACAGAAAGTCATTCCCAGACACCCCGGAGACCCCGAGAGGCTGCCCAAGGTACTCAGAGGGGCGGGGCGGGGCGGGGCTGAGGGTGTCCTGTGGGCAAGGGGGTGAGGAGGGGCTCCCGAGGGCCCCTTGGTCGCCCCCAGGGGCTGCCCCTCCGTCCCGCTGTCTCTCCCCCTGTCCCCAGGAAGTGCTGCTGAAGCGGGCGGCCGACTTGGCAGAAGCCCTGTACGGAGTGCCCGGCAGTAACCAGGTATGGCGCCTCCGCCCTCCCAGCGCCGCCGGGACCGGGGCCCCCCAGCACGCGGCGCCCGCGGCTGCCCCGGCCGTGCCCCGCTCTTGTCTTCGCAGGAGCTGCTCCTGAAGCGCGCGGCGGACGTGGCCGAGGCTCTGTACAGCACCCCCCGCGCACCCGGGCCGCTCGCACCCCTGGCCCCGAGCCACCCACACCCCGCCGTCGTGGGCATCAACGCCTTCAGCAGCCCGCTGGCCATCGCCGTCGGGGACGCCACCCCGGGGCCCGAGCCGGGTGCGTGGGCCGCGCCTCCCCGCCGTCCTCGGGCGCCGCCACCGCCCCTCCCCGGCCGGCACCGCCCCCTGACGGCCGCGCTCTCTCTCGCAGGCTACGCGCGCAGCTGCAGCAGCGCGTCCCCCCGCGGGTTCGCGCCCAGCCCCGGCTCGCAGCAGAGCGGCTACGGCGGCGGCCTCGGAGCTGGCCTGGGCGGCTACGGCGCGCCGGGCGTGGCCGGCCTCGGCGTGCCTGGGTCCCCCAGCTTCCTCAATGGCTCCACCGCCACCTCGCCCTTCGCCAGTGAGTGTCCCCCGCCCGCGAGGGAAGGTCTGGGGCCGGGGAGCGGAACGGGACTCAGCCCCGCCCCCGCCCATCCCGGAGAGGTTGGGGCGCCGGCGCCGTGAGAGTCGACCCTGGCTCAGCCCTCGGGGTCAGGCCCACCGTCCCCGCCTGGGACCTCCCCTGCCGCAGAACCTCAACCCCACCCCTAGGCTGCACATCCCGGGGTCCTGGGGCCAGAGTACTCCGTGCACTTTTAGCCTTCTTTGCCGGTCCGTTATGCACATCGCTTCTAGGCCTCCGGTCCCCCTGAAGTGGGCTCTAATGGGTGGCGGGCGTCCATCTGAAACCTGGGACACCGCCCCCTTCCCATCTCGCGCCCGGACTTGGGGAGGAGGCTGGCGCCGCCTGCCGGAAGCCTAAGGAAACTCAGGGCTCGAGGGAAGCCGGCTTCCAGCCGCCCCCCAGCTCCCAGGACTCCAGAGGCCAGGTGGGCGTGGGGAGGATGTGGTCCCCGCGATGTCGTCCGGCAGAGCGAGCGAGTTCTGTGTGATCAGACAGAATTTGAGTTTCAGTGTCCAAATCAGGAGCTGCCGGGCATTCAGCAAGTTACTTATTTGAACTTGTTTCCTCGCAGTCAAATAGGGTCAATTCCACCCCCTGCTTAAGGTTGATCTCGGATCTGAATGTGCCACTGTGCCTAAAGGGCCAGTGTGTGATTTCGGAGTCCCAGCCCTGACTGTGGGCGCTGACCACATCCCATCTGGCTTCTTAGAGTGGGGAGCTCAGAGCTGGGTGGACAGGCAATGTCTGCATGTCATGAGTGAGTGACCTTCCGAACGGCTTTGATGCCTTGTCATTTTACACTGCCCTCAAGACTCTTCCATCATCAAGTTCCAGATCAGCATGTTCACAGCTCTTTTTAGCTTAGCTATTCAGCAGGCATTTATAAAGCGCCCACTGTATGCAAAGCCCAGGGCTTGGGGGATCCCCCCACTCCTGTCACCTGCAAGAAGCCTCCCTATCAATCATAAGAGAGATTGTCCCTGAAGTCCCAGGCGACTCTGCCGAGCTGGAGAGGTGGTGAAGGCTGTCCCAGAAGGAACTGGTCATGGCTTTGCCCGTGGTGCCCTCTCCTCTCCCTGTCCCATATTTGCCATTGCCGAGACTGCACTGTCTGTCCACCAGCCTGGCTTTCCTTGCAGGGCGTGTGTCCTGCCTGCTTTCTGGCTGAAGGCTTGAGCCTGGCCCTGTCCTCTGGCCTGGGCTCAACTTCTGGGACCCAAGGCCCCATAAGCCAGAGTCCACATAGGCCATGGCCTTCTGGTGTCCCTCCCAAGGCCCCTGCCTCTCCTGGCTCTTTGCTCAGGCCAGGATTGACTGCTCCTCCTTCCCTTCAGTTCTGGGGCAGTACCCTCACAGCCTCTCTGTGGGCACCCCCTTGGGCCAACACTGGTGGGGGTATGGAACATCACATACACTGTGGTCAACAGTAGAGGAACACTCTGCCCCAGTGTGCAGAACCCAGCCCAGCTGGGGTCTTCTGATTCAGCAAGAAGATCAAGAATTCTAGAGCTGCTTAAACCCAGCATCAGCTGGAGACACACTGGACTTGAGGGAGGGTTGGTCCCATTTCATGATATTGTCTTGACCGAGGCTTACCCAGGTACCCTTCCACTCCCCACGTTCAGGGTGCTTTGTGGCCCGACTCCAAGGGGTGTCATTCTCATTGAGTTTGCGAGAACATTCCTGGAGTGACATCAGAACTGCCCCAGCCAGAGGCTCAGGGGCTGTTTGCTTGGGTCTCTCTTTGTTTTTCTGCTTCAGCCACCAGCAACCCTGGAATGAATCACAACTCCCCACACTACCTACCCAAGGTACAAAATGTGGCCGTGAGCCCTGGGCATTGAGAGCTATAGTACATTTTCTGGCATTGGTCTCAAGCCCTTCATCGGGCTCTGGGGCCTCTCCAGCTGGCAGTAACTGTTGTCTTAAAGGAGATGAGGCTGAGGGCATTTGGAAGAGGGGCAGCTGTTGAAGGCATTCTTGTATCAAGGGAGGTAGGAGGGCCCTCTGATGCCAAAGGCAGCCTTCTCAGGCTATTGCTTTCTTCCAGGAAGCCCCACCCACCCCACTGCCTGCTGCCTGGACAATACTCAGATCACAGCCTTACCAGTCTTTACAGGAGAGAGGCAGGGAATTGGGTTCAGATGAGGATGTAGAAAGGTGGGATCCAGCGATGCCCCAGGCCTGAGCCCCCAGGAGAGGAGGCTGCAGGAAGAGGGGGCAGGCAAAGTCTGTGTGCAGGAGGCTCCCTTGCCATTCCCAGGAGGGCAAGCCGCAGCCTGGGTGGCTAGGGAGTTTGAGAGCAGGAAGATCTGAGGATGTACATCCCTGCAATTTGCTTTAAAATTGACCAGCTGGAAGTGGGAGATTCAGGAGACCACCCCCCCCCACAGGGCCCAGGCTGGAGATGACAAGGACCTGCATTAAGCTGTAAGGAAACAAAGTACCCCAGGGTGCAGGGGGAAGTGGGAGAGGGACAGAGGAGCATAGGGAACATTGGCAAGGAGAGCATATTTGAGGAGGAAGTTGGAGTGCTGTTTGTGATGCTGGGCAGAGAGGCTTATAACAGGAGCCTGTGCGTTCCCCCAAACTTCATCCCTAACTACTTGTTCCAGCTCTTCTGTGACTCCTGAACTATGACTCTAGCCTTGGCACCCCAAGCAAGGCTCATAAATGTTTCCTAGCATCTCAGAATCCCAGGGGTTTTCAGCAGAAATCCTGAAGTAGTCCAGCTGTTGCTCATCTCATTTTTGGGGGGTACCTCCCACTGTTTGTTTTTTTTGAATGTTCTGGTTTTGCTTTTGTCTTTACCTGGTCTGGCCCTGTCATCCCCAGCCCCGAGAAAAGGTCTCCAGAACCGCTGAGAGGTCAGGGCTGGCCCAGGACCCTCACAGCTCCCAGTGAGATCTGAGCCTGGTACCTGTGTCAGCAGCCCATGTGGGGCCCCAGCCAAGCTGCTCACTCTGGTGCTGTCTCCCTGTTGTGTCTCCCACCACCTTCCCTGCTGCGCCTGCCCCTCCCCGCCCCGCCCCGGAGTCATGCCCTCTAGCCCCCCGCTGGCGGCTGCCTCCTCCATGTCCCTCCCGGCCGCTGCCCCCACCACCAGCGTGTTCTCCTTCTCGCCTGTCAACATGATCTCCGCCGTCAAACAGAGGAGCGCCTTCGCCCCCGTGCTGCGCCCCCCAAGCTCCCCACCCCAGGCCTGCCCCAGAGCCCACGGAGAGGGGCTTCCAGGTGAGTGATCCACCCTGCCTCACTGTGGCAGGAAGGAAGGGCCCTTGTGGAGCAGCTGGGCTACAGGGGCCTGCTCTGTCCACATCTCACCAGTGCCTCATGCTGGCTAACCTGCTCTTCTTGGAGGACGGAGAGCAGGGAGCTCTGCTGGGGTCCAGGGAGGTCCCTCTGGCCCCCTCTGCCCTGGCCTCCCAGCCTGGGATGGTCACCATTCTGGATGCTCTCAGTTGACCACTTGGCCAAGGGGAAGAGACTCAAATCACAGTTGATGAGGTCTAGAAACTACCCCAACACTCCATCCCCATCCAGCTGAGCCCAGAGCAAAGACCCTCAGAGCTGGTGGGCTGCACGCCTGTACCTGTGCCTCCCTGTGTCCACCAGAGGGTAGCACACACCACTGTGAGGGACTGGGTCGCTGACCATGGAAGGGGACTGACCTTAGAAGAGGCTTAGCCCAGCTTCCCTCCCCGCATTTTACAGATTAGGACTTGAGACCAAGTCATCTTCCCACATCCCATTCATGAAATGGCTGTTCTCTCACTTTACCCATGTGCAGCAGAACCTTTGAACCAGCAGAGCCTTTCCTATCCACGTGGTGATTGGAAACTCACTGGGAGGACAGAGGAAGGGACTGGCTGTGGAAAAGGAGGAGGCAACAGGATGTGGGTGGGGCAGAACAGGTCCTTGTTGATGGGGATGGTGGGGGCCAGGGCCAGTGTCTTCCCTAAGAGGCTTACAGGTGTTTTCTTTTCTGGCTAAGGGATGCTTCCACGGGATCCCCTAGGACTCAATCTGGCATGCAGCAGGTGTTTAATAAATAGTCAAATTATTGAATGAATATATGAGTCAGAAGGGCACCGTTCACACCCACACAGAAGGCTGCAGTGCAGTTTGTGGGGCACTGATCTGGAAGAGGTTGGGTTAGAGCACGTCCTATTGAGTATTCCCCAAGACAATAATGGGTCAGAGCAACAGAGCATTAGGAAAGAATCAGTGTTGAAATTACGTAAGTGGCTACTGAAGAATTTGTCAGAGCCTTTCATGTGCCAGGGTACGTTGTGAACCTTCTAGGAAACAGGAGATGCAAATTTATTTGAGCACAAAAATGTATTTTTCTAACAGCATCTTGAGATTAGTTCCTGGGGAATGACCTTGAGATGCAGGAAGAGACACCCTCATGGTTTCCTCAGCCTGATGTAGGGGCTGATCAGGCTGGGATGCCTATCACAAGAGCAAGGCCAGTGGCTTGGGCCCCAGAACCATCTCCAAATCCAAGGCAGGGGCAGGTGGGGCAGCCTCCAGGCTGAGACAGGGGAGGGGGCTGTGGAAAATGCTCTATGGAGCCTCTGTGCTCCAGGGTCCCTGTATGAGAGTCCGGGGACGCTGGAAAGAGGATGGGAAAGCTCAGGGCCTGGGAGAACAACTGAGGATGATACATGTCCGCAGCGTCCCACAGAATCGGCTACCCTGAGGGCAGTCAGAGCAACTAGGTGCAGCCCAGAAGCTTCTGAGAACTGTGCTGATGCCCTGCCCTGCACACAGAATGGGGTCCCTTCCCACCAGGGAACCCCCTCTGCACAGTTCAGGCAGGCCTGTGATGGTGACTCAAACAATAACAGACTTTTGTGCCAGGGAGGGCGGGAGGGCAAGGGGGCTGCTTGGTGACCCATCCAGAGGGTAGCCCATATTCAGGGAAGGACTTGCCCAAGCAAGGTTTGAAGAAGGCAGGGGTTCTTAGTGGGGGAGGAATGCCCTAGATAGAGTAGACCTTAGGCTGAAGGTATGTGGGTGGGAAGGCAGAGATTTGGAGCCCACGTTCAAAACATTAAGAACATAACATGGCCAGATGCAGTGGCTCACACGTGTAATCCTAGCACTTTGGCAGGCCGAGGTGGGCAGATCGCTTGAGATCAGGAGTTCAAGACCAGTCTGGGCAAGATGGCAAAACCTCGTCTCTAAAAAAAATAGAAAAATGAGCTGGGTGTGGTGGCGCATGCCTGTAGTCCCAGCTACTCGGGAGGCTGAGGTGGGAGGATCACTTGAGACTGGGAGGTCAAGGCTGCAGTAAGCTGAGATTGCACCATTGCACTCCAGTCTGTCTAGCCTGGACAAGAGAGCAAGACTCTGTCTCAGTAAATAAGTAAATAAATAAATAACATACAAATATATGCCAAAGATTTATTTAACTCATCAGTGAGGGAGCTAACAGGATGACAGAGCGGCTTAAAGGAGACAGTGAGAGACTGAAGCCAGTAAAACAAGGAGGGCTGGAATAAGATTGCTGGCTGCAAACTGCTTCTACAGAGCAATAAACTTGTAACCTTCCTCTGGGGACTGTCTTTTCTACCAATGAGAAGTCATCAGCCATTTCTCAGCCTCCTCCAAGTGAACATCCATCCAACCGAGCAAAGCCTGGGCCCTAGCCAGTAGCGTGAAGTCAAAAGACGTCACATGCCCCAGAATAAGATGACTCTTAAGATGGGCTTATTTGATAATGCTCTACGGTGGCTTTGAAAGGATACACAGTCACTTTTTTTGCCTTATTTCCAAGTTTTGGATAATTTTTCTTAGGTGTGTCTGGAGCTTAGAATGTGAAGGATGGAGAGAACAGAGGGTCACCAATTTCTCCTGCCAGCAAAGAGAACCATGGGAGGGGGTCAGGTAGGGGTGGGGAGTGGTGGAGTGACAAACTTCGTAGGTGTGGGAGGCACAGAGGATGCTGTTGTGGGTATGTCAGTCAGTATTCCTGGAGGCTGGCCTCTTTCCTTTTCTGCCCTGGTACATGGCCATGCGCTTGAGGAAGCAGATGGGCCCTCTGAAGGAGGCCACCCTGGGAGAAGGAGCCTGGGGTCGTCTCTCTCTTGAGGGAGGTAGGGAGCAAGGGCGTGGGCTGCATCCCCTGAGCATCTGAGAGGCACCCCTCACCCCGATCTGCAGTGCTGCCATGGGCCAGGGCTAGGGATGGCTGACTGCCTTCAGAAAGTGCTATATCCCCTGCCTGCTGTCTCCAGCCCAGAGAGTGACAGGCAGGTGGCTTCCCAGGTGGCACATGGCTTATGGCTCCTTTTTCCTTGACTACTGCAGACCAGTCTTTTGAGGATTCTGACAAGTTTCACTCTCCAGCCCGGGGGCTTCAGGGCCTGGCATACTCCTAATTACGGTAGGTCTCTGGCTGGGTCTGGCCTCCCCCGCCCCACCTGGCCCTGAGATGTGCTTGCTCTCTAAAGGCCTTCATCCTGTGCTCAAGCCTCCCCGCTAGCAGCCCCACAGGGATGGGGAGCTGGGGTCCAAGTCTTCCTCCCCGGGGCCCATCTAGACAGCTTTCTGAGGTACTTGGCCCACCCCAGTAACCCAAGCTGACCAGGTAGAGAGAAGTGGCTTCCTGTCCCCTGGCAGCCAGCCTTCCTCCCCGACCTTCTTCTCTCCCTCTCTCGCCCCACCAGGTCTGCAGCTGTTCCCATGGAGCCCGGACTGGAGGTCCCTCTGGGATTCACAGCCACACCCCGGATGGTGGCACAGACAGATGCAGGGCCAGGGCCATGGGCGGACCTCAACCCGTGAGCTGAACGGGGAGAGGCCTTCACCCCATGCTCAAGCCTCCCCGCTAGCAGCCCCACAGGCTTCTCTCGCCTCCCTGTCTTGGGGTAGTCAGAAGCCCCAGCACTGTGCAGATGCTCTTGGCAGGACAGCATCGCAGGGAGGTGCTGGGATTCTGGGCCTCACTGTCTGGGTCTTGGTTCCTCTGAAAGAGATGGATCTTGTGCAGACCAGGGTTGTTGAGTGAGGGGAGCGTGGGATGGGGACCGTGGGAAAGAGGACAGCTCAGGGAGAAGTGACCTGGAAAGGTCCTGTTTGCATCTGACCCATCTCAACTGGCCCAGCATCCCAACTTCTCTGCAGCGAAAGGGTGGCGCCCCGCAGCCTCGGGAGGCCTGCCCAGGCTCCCGTGGAGCTTCCAACAGCTGCTTGGCCCCGCAGCTGCCCCCACTTCCTTTGAGACCTGCACTCTCATGCTTGCCGCATCATGCCTCCCTGTGGGGGCTTTGGGCATGGAGGAGGCAGAAGAGGGGGTGCCAGGCCTCCTGTATTTGGGGTCTTCCCCCAGTGGATGTCTCATGGACTCTGGCCCCACACACTCACAATGACTCTGGCTGGCCCCACGCAGCGGGCCCAGCCGCCCCCCAGGTGGCCTCACATTCTGCTCTGCTAAGTTTGGAGAAAACAGAACAATAAACCAGATGCAGGTGGTGCCCGCCCGGCCTCTCACCTGCCTCCTTGGTGTGAGTTTGCTTTTCTTAGCAGTTCAGCAGCTCTAGGGGAGGCTCCAAACCCTGCCCCCGGGGAGCCCTCTTGCGCCTCGGGCTTTTTAAGCAGCCCCAGAGTTCGACTAAAGCAAGTATTCCCTGCCCCACGTCTGTTCTTGGGGACTGTTGGGGGAGGGGGAGCAGGCTAGCAGGCCTGAGCTCTGCCTGGGAGCATAATAGGGCCACTGAGGACTCAGCTGCCCAGCTCTCCAGTCAAGATCAAAGTGGTGGTTGTCAGGACATTGCTGAGAACCAGGACAGACCAAACCAAATATGACCCAGATGTCCAGAGGCTCAGAAATTAGATCCAATCCAACACAGAGGCTGCAGGGCCACGCCTGGGCTGGGTGGGGCAGCTTGTGGCTCCCAGGGCTGTTTATCTGAGCTGCACCCCAATCCCATCCCACGGCCCCCACCCCCAGGCCTAGGCACCTTACGGCTCACCTGCCTCAGAGTTTGGGTGGAAGGAGGGTAAGGAGGCAAGATTCCTATGCCCATTCGCTCCACCACCCACCCCTCTAGGATGAGTCCCAGTTGTCCCCCTGAGATATGTCCCCTGGATGATGGTCTGGCTGTCTGACCCTGAAAGCCACTTTTTTGACCCATGATCCGGTGAGCCCCGTGTCTAGCCCCAGGCCTCAGGCTTTCCTCTTTCTCTTCCTGGCCCTGCTCCTGGGCTCTGGCCTCTGGACACCCTGGCCCTTTCAACCCATGCGTCCATGACCTGCAAATGCAGCCTTCTGGACAGGCACACTTGCCAGGGCACATGGGCTGGTCCTGTCTTTCAGAGGCCTCTACTTCTTTCTCTGGTGTTCTTGGCTAGCACCTGGGATTCATCTCTCCTGGACACAGGGCAAGAGGTCATGCTGCCTTCTGGTCATCCTGTCCCATTCTCAGTGCTTGCGTGGCCTCCCACTCAGAGCACCAAAGCCTGCCTGCCCACGCCCTGCTTTATTTGGCTCTGAGCAGCTCCCATTGCCCAGGGCCCTCCCAGCTGAGGCCCTGCAAAGTTCTAATCTGCACTGGACACAGGTGATAACTGGATAGTGGTCACACTCTGGTTCCCAGGATGGGTCAGGTGCCATGGTGGATATAAATGAGACATGATGTCTGTCCCTAACAATCCCACAATGCTGCTCAAGCCACCATTTGAGTCCACACTGTCCTTTTCCTTCATCCACAGCAGACATAGCTAACCAGTTACCATGTTTGCAATGGCCTGGATTGTGCCTCCCTAAAATCCATATGTTGAAGCATTAACCTCCCATGTGACTGTATTGAGGATGGAGCCTTTAAGGAGGTGATTAAGGTTGGACGAGGTCATCAGAGTAGAGTCTTGATCCAATAGAAGTTGTGCTCTTATAAGAAGAGGAAGAGACACCAGAGTGCACTCTCTCTGTCAGGTAAGGACACAGAGAAGGCAGCCGTCTGCAAACCAGGAAGAGAGCCCTCACCAGGAATCAAATCAACTGGCACCTTGGCCTGTGACTTGCGGCCTCTAGGACTGTAAGAAAGCAAAATTCTGTGGTTTAAGCCACCCAGTCCATGGTATTTTGTTATGGTAGCCCAAGCAAACTAATACAACATTTTTTTTTCCATCTGTGAGCTGAGGGCTGCCTCCAGGAAATTAACCCTTTAGTGTTTCTGGCCTGCCCCTCCCCACTACATGGAGGAAAAATCACCAGTTAGGCTTTGTTGTAGAATATTGTCAGCAAATTCTGGGACAGTAATCCGAGATGATGTGGACAGGGCACCAAGAGCCTCTGCTATGCCACAAAACCACCGTGATGACAGAATCATTTTCAACGAAGCTACTGATCAGAGTTGTTATTTGAGATGAAAACTATTAGCCAAGTCAATATCACACCAGGCCTTCTTGTAGTCTATAATCAGTGAGGAGCAAGTCAAACTGCTGACCATGAGTCAGTACAAGACCGGCCCACCAGCAAACCGGGGCCTGTGTCTGGGTCTGTGGCACCTTCTGCAAAGCAACTGGGGCATCTTCTGGGCCTTGCAAATGGAACACCTTTCAGACTTCCCACATCCTGTAGTCAAAGAGGTTCCATTCTCAATAGCACCTGAGGATGACATTAAGCCAAGTGGCAGAAACTTGGCCTGGAGCTTACATAAATCTGTAGTGGAGACCCACTACCCAATAAATGCTATCAAATGACTAGGTCTTAGTTTAGCTCAGTCCTGAGGCCTTGCACACAAGTAGAATTGATTGGCTCATTGGCATTCATCCCTACAGAGCCTGGATATCCCAGGCAAGTGATGAAAATCCTAACCTTAGCTCCAATTCCTATGTGAATATTGGTCAGGGTGGGATCATTCGCCTGGAATGGAAGTTGTCTTCATTTCAGTTCCCCCAGCAGCAGACCTTGGGACAGGAGGTGGGTCCAGATGGTTTATTTGGGCAACAATTGCAGAACGCACCGGTCAGGGGAGCAGGGAGGGGAGGCAGCAGAAAGAAGGAAGCCCAATACAGAGTGCTACTGAGCACGCTACTACTGTGGGTTTTTCTGAAGCTTAATCCCAGCTGGGAGCTCTGGGAGGCTATAAAATGCATACCTCAGGAATTTCGCACCTGAGGAGTGAGGCAGCTGGGGTACTTATACACTAATTCTCATCAGTCAGTGGTTAGGGCTTCTGGATGGAGTGGGAGGGCAGCACTAGCTTTCTGGCACCTCCAGTCTTCCCCACAGGTGGTAAAACAGTCCCAGTAGCTAGAGAAAACACTCAGACAAAGAGAAGCAGGAGCTGACAGTTGGAATCAGACAGGAGTACACAGAGGAGGTACAGATGAGGGGATGTGGGTGGGGCACATACCTGGAGGTGGTCCCTGGCAGTCATCCAGGGGAAGATGGTTTTTTCTACTTAAAGTAAGTTTGGAGTAGGCATGGATTTTTCCTATATCTGCAGATCCCACCTCTACCTGGCACCAGGTGACAAAAACTGCCCAGGCTATTTCTTGTTGAAGTACCAAGATGCCAGGTGACAAAGGGGTCCCTCTCAGCGTCAGCCCACCCCCAGGCTTCTAATGGGGGTGGGAATAGAAAGGGCACCAGACGCTTGGCTGCTCACCGTTCAGAGAGAGTGCATCTCCAGTAAGTCCTCTGCTTTCCTCTTACAAATTTTTCCCAGCAGAACCAGGCTGCTACACTTTGCATCTGACCCTGGGGACCAGAGAGCTTCTGGGGCTACATTTTGGCTCAGACAGGACCCGCTATAGACAGGTCTCACTGGCTCAAGAGAAGCCAGGCAGCAGCTTTGACCAGCCCTCTGCTGACTATTCTGCAAAATAGCATTCTCCCTGCCCCCTCCCCATATTGGCAGAGCCTTTTAACTTCTTCCAAAAAGAAAAATCCCCTAGAGAAATGGAAACTGCTGCGCAGTGTGGAAAGGATGGTCTTTTAAAAATATGACGTTAGAGCCCAGGCAGCTATTTGGGAGGCTGAGGCAGGAGGATTGCTTGAGCCCAGGGGTTTGAGGCCAGCCTGGGCAACAAGTGAGACCCCCATCTCTCAAAAAAGAAAATGGTGTTGGGTTAATTGGATAGCCATATGCAAAAATTACATTTGGCCTCTACCTCACACCATACACAAAAATCAATTTCAGGTGGATTGTGGATGGAACTGTGAAACCTAAAGCAATAAATCTTTACGCCCCTGAAGATAGACTAGAAGCTTTTTGCCAGAGTGATATCCAAGGTCTGTTTTTCTACCCATGTGACCAACTTTGGAATGAAGCAAGCACTGGACATATTTGAAATGGTTCAAATGGACCCTAAAGTCTCTTTTCACTTCTCTAGGAGAACTTTTCCAAATAGGAAAAAGTTCACAGTTCACAGTGTCTTTCTACCCGAGGAGAGACTAGGTCTTCATGGTTAGTGATTTCCCAAAGCTCTTAACTGCTTATCCTGGGCCAGCCGCCTTCCCCACCCTGTCCACAGCTCCCTCCTCTGCTACCACCTCAGTGGTAGTAACAACACTCACTGGGTGATGGAAGGGAATGGGTCACCTCCTTGGAGCCACCAGCCTAGAAGTTGGCCGTTCACAAGAAGACCTTCACTGTGAGAGTCCTGATGGGGGCGAGGCATCGACCACAAATATGGACCTAGCATCCTCTTATCACTTCTCCCATGCTCCCCTTCTCTTCACTCTTACTAAGAGGTGTGTGTGTGTGTGTGTGTGTGTGTGTGTCAGGGTTTCACTCTGTCACCCAGGCTGGAGTGCAATGGCACAATCATAGCTCACTCCTGGGTTCAAGCAACCCTCCTGCCTCAGCCACTTGAGTAGTTGGGACTACAGGTACCACACCCAGCTAATTTTTTAGGGGGTAAGAGATGGAGGTCTCACTATATTGCCCAGACTGGTCTCAAACTCCTGGGTTCAAGTGATCCTCCTGCCTCAGACTCCCACAGTGCTGGTATTACAGGCGTAAGCCACCACGCCTGCCTTCATTATGAGATTTTCTTTTTCTTTTCTTTTCTTTTTTTTTTTTTTTTTTTTTGAGACAGGGTCTTGCTCTGTCACCTAGGCTGGAGCGCAGTGGCACAATCACAGCTCACTGCAGCCTCAGCCTCCTGGCTCAAGTGATCCTCCCGCTTCAGCCCCCAGAGTAGCTGGGACCACAGTCACGTACCACCACGCTAGGCTAATTTTTGGGTGTGTGTTTTGTAGAGACAAGTTTCTCCATGTTGCCCAGGTTGGTCTCAAACTCCTGGGCTCAAATAATCCACCTGCCTCAGCCTCCCAAAGTGCTGGGATTATAGTTGTGAGCCACACACCCGGCCATTAGATTTTTGATAACCAGAATGTCTTAATTGAATGTAGTCTAAGTTATTAATCTTTTCTTTATGATTAGCGTTTCTCGTATGCTTTTAATTTATGTATTATTTTGCTTCACGCTTCACCTCCCCTTTTGTGTGCTTTTAAACAAATCTTCTGCCAGGTGCGGTGGCTCACACCTGTAATCCTAGCACTCTGGGAGGCCAAGGTGGGCGGATCACCTGAGGTCAGGAGTTCAAGACCAGCCTGGCCAACATAATGAAACCCCGTCTACCCCGTCTCTGCTAAAAATACAAAAATTAGTCGGGCATGGTGGCGCATGCCCGTAGTCCCAGCTACTCAGGAGGCTGAGGCAAGAGAATCACTTGAACCCAGGAGGCAGAGGTTGCAGTAAGCTGAGATCACGCCATAGCCTGGGCAACAGAATGAGACCCCATCTCAAAAAAATTAATTGATTAATTAAATGAAATTAAAATAAAATAAATTTTAAAATCTTCACTTACACCAAAGTCAAGAAGATATTTTAGAATTTTTCTTGTTTGTGGCTTTTATATTTAGGTCCACAATCCAACTAAAATTTATTTTTGTGTACAGTGTAAGCTAGAGATCAAATTTAATTTTTTTTCATATGGTTAGCCAATTGGCCCAGCACCATTTACTGAAATGAGTATATTTTCCCCCACTTCATTGAAGTGAAATCTTTGTTATAAATCAAATGTTCATATATGTATGTGTCTGTCCTGGATTCTCTATTCTGATCCATTTGTCTTTTTATCTAGCCTTATACCCGTGCCACATTATCTTAATAACTTTAGATTTATAGTATGTTTTGCTATGTAGTATGTATGGCAAGTCATCCAATTTAATTCTTCCTTTCAAATTTTTTTATTTTTATTTTTATTTTTTTATAGAAATAGGGCCTCACTATGTTACCCAGGCTGGTCTTGAACTTCTGGCCTGAAGTGATCCTCCTGCCTTAGCCTCCCAAAGTGCTCGTATTACAGGCTTGAACCACTACACCCGGCCTGTTCAACTTAGTTCTTCACAATTATGTTGGCTACATGTGGTCCTTTTCATTTCAATACAAATTTTATACTCAGTTTATTAATTTCTATTTTTTAAACTGGCAGGCAGATTGCCTGAGCTCAGGAGTTCAAGACCAGCCTGGGCAACACAGTGAAACCCCATCTCTACTAAAATGCAAAAAATTAGCCAGGCATGGTGGCATGCGCCTGTAGTCCCAGCTACTCAGGAGGCTGAGGCAGGAGAATTTCTTGAACCCTAGAGGCAGAGGTTGCAGTGAGCCAAGATCACACCACTGCACTATAGCCTGGGCAACAGAGCAAGACTCCATCTCCCAAAAAAAAACACAAAAAAACCTGCTGGATTTTCATTGGGATTACATTAAATTTACAGACTAATTAATGGAGAATTGATGTCTTTAAAATATTGTGTGTTTCAATCTATGAATATTGTATATCCCTCCATTTATTTAGATCTTTTAAGACTTCTCTTAATAATGTTTTATAGACTTCTGTATGAAAGTTTTGCACCTATTTCATTTATTTCTATTTGATTATTTTGTGATATTATAAATAGTATCATTTTCTTAATTTTATTTGTTGTGAATATATAGAAACAATGGATTTTTGTATAATTACCTTGTATCCAGCAATCTTGCTTAGCCACTTATCCTTAGATTATCTTGAATTTTCTTAGCTACATAGTTATGTCATCTGCAAAAAAAGGACAGTTTCATTTCTTCACTTGCAGTCCTTACTTTTTTATTTTTACTTATTTTTCTTGCTTAAATGCACTGGCTGCAACCTCCAATACAATGTTGAATAGAAGTAGTGAGAGTGGACATCTTTGTTTTGCTCCTGATTCTGGAGGGCAAACTTTTAATATTCCATCATTAAGCATCGTATTTGGTTTATAGATATCCTTCTATTCCTAATTTTCTAAAAATGTTTAAAAATTATAAATAGATGCCAAAATTTGTGAAATATTTTTCTTCATGTATTAAGTAATCAAATTACTTTCTCCATTATTTCGTTAATGTGCTGAATTATATTAATTACATGTCTAATTTTAAGCCACTGCTTTAGCTAATTGTATGTTTAATTGTAAATGGCCATATATTCTTTTTTTTTTTTTTTTGAGTGCAATGGCACGATCTCAGCTCACTGCAACCTCCCCTCCCTGGTTCAAGTGATTCTCTCGCCTCAGCCTCCTAAGTAGCTGGGATTACAGGCTCACACCACCATGCCTGGCTAATTTTTGTATTTTTAGTACAGATGAGCTTTCACCATGTTGGCCAGGCTGGTCTGGAACCCCTGACCTCAAGTGATCTGCTCTCCTTGGCCTCCGAAAGTGCTGGGATTACAGGCATGAGCCACCATGCCTGGCCTTATTCTTTATACAGGGTATACCAATTATTAACACAGAGCCCATTTTCTCTTTCTCTCTCTGCACTACTCTCTAAGAAGGCACTCACTGGCCCTCGCCCTTACCCGCTTCTCCTGGAGGAGCTAGGCTTTCTGCAGACCACCTCGGTACCTCACACTGCTACACTGGCTTTGGCTACCTTCTAGGAGCAGTGGAGGGAAAAACACAAGAACAAACACAAATTAATCTCTCACTAAGTCATTCTACTTTGACTCTAACCCATCTTTTACCATTCTATTCTAACCATTAAGATTCAAACCCAGCTGGGCTCCTTAGCTCTGGGTCCCCTCTGTTGGAAATCCAGAACAGTCCTCGTGAGTCCTCTGTTCAGGAGCCCCTGACCACTCACTTCCAAAGGTGAAGATACTCAAAGCTTCCCTCCTTGCCTCACCTTGGCAGGGGGTCACAGAGTGGCAGCCTCAGGAGGGTGGGAGGTCCTGGGTTTGAAGCTGCAGAGACTGCCAAGCAGAATGGGTAGGAGGGTCTCAGAGACCCCCACTGGAGACAGAACGGAAGAGAATTCATGGCTCTAAAGATGCAGGAGAGGCTGCCTAGCAGGGCAGGAACAGCAACAAGACGGTTTTATTTGTATACATTCCTTTTTGAGTATTTTATTCCTTGAGAGAGAAGGCGCCAAGTGTTTATGGGGGAAGGAAAGCTGGCCGTCCAGTAGCAGATTTGCTGTTCCCTGGGGCTCAGCATCCCAGCATCTTCATTCTCCAAAGCCTCTCCTGCCCCTCCCCTGCCAGCCTGGGAGCGAGCGCTGCCCTGATGCACCCTCATCTGGTGGGGTGTGAGGAGGAGGCTCGGGCTAGGCTGCCGCAGCTCCGGGCAGTCATCCCATGAGTCCAGTTCCTGAAGGGCTGATTCGTGTAGGGCAGAAAAACCCTCTGGCTTGGCTCCTGCCCCTGCTGCCTCTCTGGGGGTTCCACCCATGTAGGAGCCTGCCCCCTCCACGCACCCACCCGCTCACCCAGAACTGAGTTCACCTTTAGGTGGGTGGGGGAGGCTCCAGCCACTCTCAGGCTGGCACTGCCTCAAGCCCAGCCAGCGCTGGCTTCTGTGGTGAAAGCTGGTTTGTCTGGGCTGCTCCCCAGGGCCTTCCTGGAGCTGGGCCTGGAGGCTGACCTTGCCAAGACAAACTGTGGCTGCCGGTGGAATGTGGTCGAGTGGCTGAGCAGGCCCAAACCTGGCAGGTCTGTCCATGGTGCCCCTGCAGGTTCCACAACACAGAGCCCTACAGAGTCAGGTGGGGCCAGGAGCAGGTACCGAGAGACTTCTGGGCATCTCTCTGTCCCTTGTTGAGTGAGGACGGGGCAGCATCTCTTTTGGTCTCAACTGAAAGTGTAAAAGGCTATCATCAAGTGTGAAGGTTGACAGAATTCCTCAACCCACTTCCTCTGGGAAGCAGCTGTGCAGGAGAAGACATGGTGGGGAGGGGGTGCGGGGAGGAGTGTGTGCCTGTGTGGGTGTGGGCATAAAGCAGGAGCTGCCAGGGGAGGAGAAAGAGCTCTGGCAAGACCTCTTCTTCCCTTAACACAGCCCGGTGGGATGGGGCTACGTTGCTGTTAGAGCCAGAGTTTAATTTTTTTTTTTTTGAGACAGGGTCTTGTTCTGTTGCCCAGGTTGGAGTACAGTGGCACTGTCTCAGCTCACTGCCGCCTCGACCTCCTGAGCTCAAGCAATCCTACCTCAGCCTCCTGAGTAGCTGGGACTACAGGCATGTGCCACCATACCCGACTAATTTTTCTATTTTTTGTAGAGACAGGGGTCTCACTATGTTGCCCAGGATAGTCTTGAACTCCTGCCCTCAAGCAATCCTCCTACCTCTGCCTCCCAAAGTGCTGAGATTACAGATGTGAGCCACTGTGTCCAGCCAGATCCACAATTTGTTCAGCCCATACCATCAGCCCATTATTTTAGCGGGGGTTCCCTGGACGCAGAGCCTGAAATGGGGATTTGTGTGCACATGAAAGGGCTCTCTGGACAAAAAGGAGAGAAGAAAGCAGAACAGGGTAGGGGAAAGAGCTGGGCAAGTCTCTGCAGGAGGCTAGCACAGTCCCACGCGGAGCCTAAGCATGAAGGGCACCTCAGTTGGACCCTGCCATGACAAGGAGATGCCTCTAATATCCCTGAGCCTGTCAGCCACTGGTTGGAGGCTGCCAGAGGAGAGTGGAGAGTGAAACCTCCTGGGCAAAGCAGCTCCCATTTGGCCAAGGACAATACTTGGGAGAAGGGGGCAGCTGTGAGCTGTCAGCAGCCAACACTCACCCCAGTTGGGGATGAGCACACTGGCTGGTAAGGATCTGGTGGAACTCTAAGAGCCTCCACTGCACCCCTCTACCTAGTAAATCCGAGACCAGGAGCGACGCCCGTCTTTATACCAGCCCTACTTCTTGGGTGGCAAGGACTCCCCTTCTGTTTCAAGTAGGGCTTATAGGGAATGTCCTGGGCCATTGACAAACAAAGGGCAGGAATCCACTCAGGGAGATCAGGTGATGCTCAACAGAGCTGTGCAGCAGAGGTGGACACACACAGCAAGCACGCAGTTGACTCAATCATAGTCACTGCTTGGGAGGGCCATAGGTGCTGTCCACATCAGCTCTGCTGGCTCGGGACACCCATCATTGCCTTGGATGTCTCTAAAAGCTGACTCGCTCTTCTGCCTGTCCTCCCACCTACCCCCTACCCAGGCTGAACCCCATTTCCCTTCTCTTCTACCTCCCAGATCAGTGACGCTGAGCCAGTCCCTAAGGTAGGGTGAGGGCTGGCAGTCTTGCTGTTGCTCTAGTCTCTTTCCAAGATATCGCCTTGGCATCTGCTCCTGCTTCCCTGTGGCCTTCCATTTTCATACTCAAGAGTCTGTTTCCAGGCCAGGTGCGGTGGCTCATGCCTATAATCCCATCACTTTGGGAGGCCGAGGCGGGCTGATCACTTGAGGTCAGGAGTTGGAAACCAGCCTGGCCAACATGGTGAAACCCCATCTCTACTAAAAATAAAAAACTATTAGCCGGGCGGGGTGGGGCGTGCCTGTAATCCCACCTACTTGGGAGGCTGAGGCAGGAGAACTGCTTGAACCCGGTAGGCGGAGGTTGCAGTGAGTCGAGATCACGCCACTGCACTCCAGCCTCGGTGACAGAGCAAGACTCTGTCTCCAAAACAAAACAAAACAAAACAAAACACAAACAAAAACAAAAAAAAGGAGTCTGTTTCCCAAACAAAACAAAAACTCTGAGTCTGCTCTGTTTCTCCCTCTGCAATGCCCGGCAGCAACACTAATTTCCCTTAGGCAATAGGGACACTACTGACTAAGTAGGGGAAGCTCACAGAAATTAGAACAAAGTGGCGAAGGGAAGTCCAAGGGACTCAATCCAGTGCCCAGAGAGGAAGGACAGCAGTGTCCTCTGGGAGGGTGAGCCCCAGAAAGAGGCACCCCACTGGAAATATGACAGGAGGTGGAGGAAGCTGAAGAGAAAAGAAAACGTGTGAAAAGCACCTCATGCTCCAAAGACAAACAAAACAAGAAAAGTAGAGACTTCCCAGAAGATGGAATGATGTAGGTTTGCCATTTCTTCTGCTAAGTCTAATTTAAAACCCTGGATGGCTCACGCCTGTAATCCCAACACTTTGGGAGGCCCAAGTAGGAGGATCACTTGAAGCCAGGAGTTCGAGACCAGCCAGTGCAACATAGTGAGACCACCTGACTCTACAAAAGAAAAATTAGCCAGGCGCAGTAGTGCGCACCTGTAGTCCCAGCTACTCGGGACTGAGGCTGGAGGATGGCTTGAGGCCAAGAGTTTGAGGTTATAGTAGCACCACTGCACTCCAGCCTGAGCAACAGCGAGACCTTGTTGCTTAAAAAAATAAATAAATAAAAATGAAAAATAAAACCCTGGACATTATATATAAAACAAGCATAAACAGATTCTGGGGGGAGAAAAGGGTTCTGAATGGGGGAGAAAAAGAGGCAGATGATTTAGAGGCCTCTGCACCCCAGGAAAGACATGGCAGAGAATCCCCTGGGTTTTCTTTCTGTTCCACATATCCTAGATTTGGAACTTAAGAAACTGGCAACACAGCAATGCCATGGCATGCCAAAAAATAAAAAAAAGCTCCAATAAAAACCTGCTCCTCTAGCCAAAGGACCAAGTGAACAGCAACCTAGTAAGGCTGAAACCGAGACACAAAAACCACTTTACTTCAGCCAAGCCCCACAGAATAAACTGAGACCCCACCTACATCCGCACAGCAAAGGCGCAGTGGGGAGCCTAAATTCCACCCTCCCAAGGCTGCAGTGAGGTTCCCCAACGACCATCACCAGAGCAGTGCCAGTGAAGACCGGGCAGAGAGTTGAGCCATCCATCTGTGTCAGCCAGCAAAGGGGCCTCCTCCGTGCTCCACGGTATCACTAGCACCACCACCACGCTGGGAACCACGTGAAGAACCTGGATTTCCGGCCTGTACTCCCCAGTAAAGAGGCGCCTCTCCCGCTTCCTGCTGAGATGTGTCACAGGAAGCCTTGTGGAGAGTCAGGATTTTCGCCATGGCCCAGAGCAATTTATTAGACCACCTACCCTGCCTCTTCGCCCTCCAGCGGTGGTGTCAGTGGAGATCACAACTGGAGTCAGACTTCCCACCTTTGCCCATCAGTAAAAAGGAGCACCTGCCCCCTACAGGTGTCAATATAGGTCATTTTTTACTCCCACCTGGCAGGGAAGACCCGACCTCACCCCTCCCGACCCTGCCTTGCCCTGCCAGACAGATAGGTGTCAGAAAAAAGTCAGCTAAAACATAAAGTTTATATTTATCTATTCATATTTTTCAATTTTATTTTTAAAGAGACAGGGTCTTGCTCTGTCATCCAAGCTGGAGTGCAGTGGCATGATCACAACTCGCTGCAGCCTTGAACTCCTGGGCTCAAGCAATCCTCTCCACTCAGCATCCCAAGTAGCTGGGACTACAGGCATGCACCACCACGCCTGGCTAAAACATAAAGTTTAAATAAGATCCAGAGTCTGGTAACACAATACAAAAAGGTCCAAATTTCAGGCCGGGCGCAGTGACTCATGCCTGTAATCCCAGCACTTTGGGAGGCCGAGGCGGGCGGATCACCTGAGGTTGGGAGTTCGAGACCAGCCTGACCAACATGGAGAAACCCCGTCTCTACCAAAAATACAAAAATAGCTGGGCGTGGTGACTCATGCCTGTAATCCCAGCTACTTGGGAGGCAGAGGCAGAAGAATCACTTGAACCCAGGAGGTGGAGGTTTTGGTGAGCCGAGATGGCGCCATTGCACTCCAGCCTGGGCAACAAGAGCGAAACTCCATCTCAAAAAAAAAAGAAAAAAGGCCAAGTTTCAACCAAAAATCACTTGTCATGCCAGGAACCAGGAAGATCTCAAACCAAATAAAGAAAGGCCATCTATTGGATGTAACACCAAGATGCTAGAATTAACCGATGAAGATATTAAAGTAGTCATGATCAAGATACTTCAACAAACAACTAAGAATATGCTTAAAATAAATGAAAAAATTGCCTCAGCAAAGAAATAGAAAGTCTCTGAAAAAGTAGATGATAACAAGAGCCAAATGGAAACACTGAAACTGACAAAACAGAATCACTAAAATTTTAAAATTCAGTGGATGGGCTCAACAACAAAATGGAAGGTACAAAGGAAAAAATCCATAAACTCAATGACAGAATAATAGAAATGGCCAAATCTGTAAAGAGAGAAGAGAAACTGAAAAAAAAAAAAAGATAAAGAGAACCTCTAGAGACTGTGGAGCTATAACGAAAGAGCTAATATTAGTGTCACTGGAGTTCCGGAAGGAGAGCAGGGCTGGGTGTGGTGGCTCATGCCTGTAATCCCAGCACTTTGGGAAACTGAGGCAGGAGGATTGTGTGAGCTCAGGAGTTTGAGACCAGCCTGGGCAACATGGTGAAACCTTGCCTCTACAAAAAATACAAAAATTAGCCACATGTGGTGGCATACATCTTAGTCCCAGCTACTCAGGAGGCTAAGGTGGGAGGATGGTTTGAGTGTGGGAGGCAGAGGTTGCAGTGAGCTGAGATTGCACTGTTGTACTCCAGCCTGGGCAATAGAATGAGACCCTATCTCAAAAAAAGGAAAAGAAAAAGAAAGAAAAGAAGAAAAATACTGGAAGAAATAGTGGCTGAAAATTTGCCACTTATCACTCATGTCATAAGGGCCTTCAGCCACTGAAACACTGTTTTCATTTTTTTTGGGGGGGGGTTTGTTCTGTTTTGTTTTTTTGTTTTTGTTTTGAGACAGAGTCTCGCTCTATCACCAGGCTGGAGTGCAGTGGTGCGATCTCAGCTCACCACAACCTCTGCCTCCCAGGTTCAAGCAATTCTCCTGCTCAGCCTCCCGAGTAGCTGGGACTATAGGCACGTGCCACCACGCCCAGCTAATTTTTGTATTTTTAGTAGAGACGGGGTTTCACCGTGTTGGCCAGGATGGTCTCGAGCTTTGACCTCATGATCTGCTCACCTCGGCCTCCCAAAGTGCTGGGATTACAGGCCTGAGCCACCCTGCCTGGCCTCTGTTTTTTTTTTTTTTTTTTTAAGACACATTCTCACTCTGTCTCCCAGGCCGGAGTGTAGTGGCACGACAATAACTTACTATAACCTTGAACCCTTGGGCTCAAACAACCCTCCTGCTCAGCCTCCTGAGTAGCTGGGACCACAGGCACGTGCCATCACGCCCAGCTAATTTTTTAATTTTTTGTAGAGATGCAGTCTCGCTATGCTGCCCAAGCTGATCTTGAATTCCTGGCCTCAAGCAATCCTCCTTCCTTGACCTCCCAAAGTTTGGGATTACAGACATGAGCCACTGCGCCCAGCCCTGAAACACTTTTTGAAGCTCGTATTAGTAACCTAATAAGTAACCTAAGCCATCAGAGGTATCTATATTTCATATAGCTGTGTTTCTAATAAAGCTGTAATTAAAAGAACATTTGTAACTTAAAGTTCTAAGTTGTCTCAGGGGTTGGGTCACTATATTGAGTGTACTCCCCCAATTCTTCTCCTCACATGCAGATTTTAGTAAGTGATAGTTTTAAATTAAATTTTGAACCTGTGCTTTGCTTTGTTTTGTTTTGTTTTGTTTTTTTCTGATACAGGGTCTCACTCTGTCTTCCAAGCTGGAGTGCAGTGGCGCGATCTCGGCTCACTGCAACCTCTGCCTCCCAGGTTCAAGCGATTATAGACATGTGCCACCATGCCCGACTAATTTTTGTATTTTTAGTAGAGACGGGGTTTTACTATCTTGGCCAGGCTGGTTTCAAACTCCTAACCTCAGGTGATCCACCCACCTTGGCCTCCCAAAGTGCTGAGAGTAGAGGCGTGAGCCACTGCATCCTGCCAAGCCTGTGCTCTTTGTTGCCTCCATACTGCTTCACAAACATGGGGGCATTGAGCTTGGAACTTTCTCGCAGAGGCTGAAACCACCTTTGTCTTCCTCTCCATGGAAATTAAATAGGTTTCATGTCAAGCATAGTACATATGATGTCTGTACAAATTAGAAAAAGGTGTCTCTTCCTCAAGCCCCCCCCCCAAAAAAAGTGTTATGTTAATATTTATTCCTTAACGACAATAATTAAGATAAACATACAGGAGCACTTGCCCCTCCCCCAAAGCCGACAGCCTTCGTGTCACCTGATGTATTAGCTGAAGCAGTATTCCTGGGTGAGAAATGTGTTGTTTCCAGAATCCAGAGGCCACCAAGTGCTGTGCTTCCTTCTTTGTGGCAGGGGATACAAAATACAGCAATTAGTCTCTAACTTTGGAGGAGCTATCCTGGCATGCCCTTGGCCAACAGACCCCGTAAAACTTGACCAAAATGGCAGGTCCCTGAACCCTCCCAGAGTTTATCTCCTACCATCTGGATTGCATGTGTCTCACCAAGGCCTCCAGTGTGCTAGCCATGTTGTGCTCATCCTGCCCGCCTGCATGACGTCAGTAACATAAAGGATCACTGCAGTGTCTGCATGACATATGGATAGTACAGAGACCTTCAAACTATATTATGATACAGACCAGGAAAATTAACATAGCCCTAGGGCAAAACACTGAGTAAATATTTATGTGAATGAGGACTGTTTCTGATCTTCTTTTCTAATTGGGATGGAACTCTAATATAAAATCCACCACCGTAACAAACTGAAAGAGAGAAAATATACGGTCACCTCAAAAGATGCAGAAAAAGCATTTGACAAACCTAACATCTGCTATAAAAATTCTCAGCCAGCTAGGATGAGAAGAAAACCTCTACAACATGATAAAGGGTATCTATGAAAACCTAACAGCTAACCCTAAACTGAATGTTTTTGCCCTAAAATCAGGAAGTAGGCAAGGATGCCCAGTCTTACCACTTTTGTTTGTGCTTCTTTGATCTGAAAATATATGGCTTTCACAAAATTTGAGCAGTTTTCAGCCATTGTTTCTTAACTTTCATTTAATATAGTACTAGAAGCCCTAGCAAGTGTGATAAGGCAAGAAAAATAAACAAAAGTCTTAATATTGAAAGGAAAAAATAAAATTATTCCCACTCACAAATGATATAATCATCTGTGCATAAAATCCTAAGGAATATATATATGTATATATTTGGAAAAAAACAGCTCCACGGCCAAGCATGGTGCCTCACACGTGTAATCCCAGCACTTTGGGAGGCCAAGACAGGAGAACTGCCTGAGGCCAGAAGTTCGAGACCAGCCTGAGCAACACAGGGAGACTCCATCTCTACAAAAAATGTTTAAAATGGCCAGACATAGTGGTGTGTGCCTGTGGTCCCAGCTACTTGGGAAGCTGAGGCAGGAGGATCACTTGAGCCCAGGAGTCTGAAGCTGCAGTAAGCTGGATCGCACCACTGCAGCACACAGCCTGGGCAATAGAGTGAGACAGCTGTCAAAAAAAAAAAAAATAAAGCTTCTAACTAATATTCAAGTTTATCAAGATCACAAGATTTGAGATCAATATACAAAAATCAACTACATTTCAATATATTAGCAAGGAACAATTAAAAATCAAATTTAAAAAATAACACCTGCATTTGTTTGCTAGGACTGACATTAAAAAGTACCACAGACCAAGTGGCTAAAACGACAGAGATTTATTTTCTCACAGTTCTAGAGGGTGGAAGTCAAAGATCGAAGTATCAGCTGATTTGGTTTCTCTTAAAGCCTCTCTCCTGGCCCTACAGGTGCCTACCTTCTCCCTATGTCTTCACATGGTGGACAGAGAAAACTCTTGTGTCTCTCTCCTCTCTTTTTTTTTTTTTTTTTTTGAGACAGTCTCACTCAGTTGCCCAGGCTGGAATGCAGTGGTGCAATCTCGGCTCACTGAAACCTCCACCTCCCTCGTTCAAGCGATTCGCCTGCCTCAGCCTCCTGAGTAGCTGGAATTACAGACTCGTGCCACCACCCCTGGCTAATTTTTGTATTTTTAGTAAAGATGGGGTTTCGCCATGTTAGCCAGGCTGGTCTCAAACTCCTGACCTCAACAGCTCCGCCCACCTTGGCCTCCCAAAGTGCTGGGATTACAGGTGTAAGCCACCACGCCAGCCTCTCTCTCTTCTTAAAGGGACACTAGTCATACTGGATTAGGGCCCACCCATGTGAACTTAATTACTTCTTTAAGGTTCTGTCTCCAAATACAGTCACAATCTGAAGTCTTGGGGGTTAGGACTTCAGTATATGAATTGGGGTGAAATAATTCAGCCCATAAAAATACCATTGATAAGAGCTCGAAAAATGAAATACTTCAATATAAATCTAACATAAGATGTGCAGGATCTGTATGCTGGAAACTACAAAACGCCAATGAAAGAGCTAGAAGAAGACCTAATAAGCGAATAAACACACAGTGTTCAAGGATTGGGAAGTACAGTATAGTTTTGTTTTGTTGTTGTTGTTGTTGTTTTTGTTTTTTTTGAGACAGAGTCTTGCTCTGTGGCCCAGGTTAGAGTACAGTGGCGCGATCTTGGCTCACCACAATCCTGCCTCCCAGGCTCAAGCGATTCTCCTGCCTCAGCTTCCCAAGTAGCTGGGACTACAGGTGCTTGCCACCATGCCTAGCTAATTTTTGTATTTTTAGTAGAGACGGGGCTTCACTGTGTTGGCCAGGCTGGTCTCGAACTCCTGACCTCGTGATCTGCCCGCCTCAGCCTCCCAAAGTCCTGGATTACAGGCGTGAGCCACCACACCCAGCCTTACATTATAGTTAAGATGCCAATTGTCCCCAGATTGACCCACAGATTTAATGCAATTCCAATCAAAATCCTAGCAAAATTCTTTGGAGATAGACAAGGTAAATCTAAACTGTGTATGGAAAGGTAAGAAGACGGTAATAGCCAAAACAAGTTTGAAAAGAAAAAGGCATAGGATTCACACTACCCATTTGTATGTGTATGTGTGTGTGTTTCCCAGATTGATGTTTGTTGTTTGTTTGTTTTTGAGACGAAGTCTTGCTCTGTTGCCCCGGTTGGAGTGCAATGGTGCAATCTCAGCTCACCACAACCTCTGCCTCCCAGGTTCAAGTGATTCTCCTGCCTCAGCCTCCCAAGTAGCTAGGATTACAGGTGCACGCCACCACGCCCAGCTAATTTTTGTATTTTTGGTAGAGACAGGGTTTCGCCATGTTGGCCAGGCTGGTCTCGAACTCCTGACCTCAGGTGATCCACCCGCTTCAGCCTCCCAAAGTGCTGGGATTACAGGCGTGAGGCACTGGACCCGGCCTCCCAGATTGTTTTATTGTGGTAAAGCATGGATAAGATGAAATTTACCATTTAGCTTTTTTTTTTTTTTTTTAAAGAAATGGAGTCTCACTATGTTGCCAAGGCTAGATTCGAACTCCCGGGCTAGAGTGATCCTCCTAGCTCAGCTTCCTGAGTAGCCGGGAACACAGGCTTCTGCCACCACACCCAGCTCTCAGCCATTTTTAAGTGTATAATTCAAATTCAGTGGCATTAAATACATTCACAAGGTTGTGTAGCCAGCATTACTATCTATTTCCAGAACTTGTTCATCATTCCAAACAGAAACCCTGTACCCACTGGACATTAACTCCTCACTCCCTCCCCCAAGTCCCTGGTAACCTCTATTCTACTTTCTGTGTCTATGAATTTGCCTATTCCAGTTACTTCATATAAGCGGAATCATATATTTGTCCTTTTGTGTCTGGCTTATTTCTCTTAGCATAATATTTGCAAAGTTCATCCTTGCTGTAGCTGCTTGTGTCAGAATTTTATTCCTTTTTATGGCTGAGTAATATTCTATTTTGTGTGTATACCACATTTTGTGTATTCATTCATCTGTTTGAACACATGGGTTGTTTTCACCTTTTGGATATTGTGAATAATGCTGCTGTGAACACTTGGTGTACGAGTATCTCTTTGAGTCACTGCTTTCAATTCTTTGGAAGAATATTGAGAAGTGAAATTGCTGGGTCATATTGTAATTCTGTGTTTAACTTTTTGAGGAATCACTGAACTGTTTCCCACCACAGACGCAATGTTTTACATTCTAGCAATGCACAAACGTTTTGATTTCTCCACATCACCAACACCTTTTTGTTTGTTTGTTTTGTTTTGTTTTGAGACAGTCTCGCTCTGTTGTCCAGGCTTGAATGCAGTGGCACCATCTCAGCTCGCTGCAACCTCCGCCTCCTGGGTTCAAGGAATTCTCATGCCTCAGCCTCCTGAGTAGCTGAGGCTACAGGCAAGCGCCCCCACGCCCAGCTAATTTTTGTAGTTTTGGTAGAGATGAGGTTTCACCATGTCCGCCAGGCTGGTCTCAAACTCCTGGCCTCAAGTGATCCACCTGGCTGGGCCTCCCAAAGTGCTGAAATTACAGGCATGAGCCACCGTGCCCAGCCCACCAACACTTTTTATTGTTAATTTTATTGATAGTAGTTATTCTAATTTAGGGTGTAAAGTGGTATCTCGTTTCCATTTGTATTTCCCTAATGACTAATGATGTTGAGCATTTTTTCATGTGCTTATTGGGCATTCGCGTATCGTCTTTGAAGAAATGTTTATTAAAGTTCCTTGTCCAGGCCGGGCGCGGTGGCTCACGCCTGTCATCTCAGCGCTTTGGGAGGCCGAGGCGGGCAGATCATGAGGTCAGGAGATCGAGACCATCCTGGCTAACACGGTGAAACCCCGTCTCTACTAAAAATACAAAAAAAATTAGCTGGGCGTGGTGGCGGGCGCCTGTAGTCCCAGGGCTGAGGCAGGAGAATGGCCTGAACCCGGGAGGCGGAGCTTGCAGTGAGCCGAGATGGCGCCACCGCACTCCAGCCTGGGCGACAGAGCAAGACTCCGTCTCAAAAAAAAAAAAAAGTTCCTTGTCCATTTTTCCATTTTTGAATTAGGTTTTTTGTTTGTTTGTTTTATGTTGAGTTGTAGAAGTTCTTTACATATTCTGGATATTTACATTTCTGCAAATATTTTCTGCCATTCTGTGGGCTGTCGTTTCATTCTCTTCTTTGATGCACAAAAGTTTTTAATTTTGATGAAGTTCACCTTATGTTTTTTTCTCTTGTTGACTGTACTTTGGTGACATATCCAAGAAATGATTGACAAATTCAATGTCATGAAGATTTTTCACTGCTTTTTTCTCCTAGGAATTTTATGGTGTTAGCTCTTCAGTGCAGGGTTTGATCCATTGCGAATTAATTTTTGGATACGGTGCAACAAAAGGATCCGGCTGCATTCTTTTGCATGTGCACACTACCCGGTTCTAAGATGTATCATAAAGCTACCAATAGTCAAGGCATTGTGATATTGGCAAAAAGACAAATGCCAATGGAACAAACTAAAAATTCTAGAAATAGACCCACATAAATATGGTCAGCTGATTTTTGACAAAGATGTAAAGACAATTCAATGAAGAAAGAACAGTCGTTTCAACAAAAGGTGCTGGAACAACTGGACTTCCACATGCAAAAATAAAAACCTAGACTTACATTTCATATATATATATAAATTAACTCAAAATATATGATAAACGTAAATTAATATGTAAAACTATAAAACTCTTAGACTTAGGAGAAAATATTCGTGACCTTTGGTTAGTCAAAGAGCTTCCAGATAGGACACAAAAACACCATCTATAAGAGGAAAAAAAGGATAAGTTTCACTTTCTCGAAATTTAAAACTTCTGCTCTGCAAAAAACACTATTAAGAGAATAAAGTTGTTTCCTTTCGTCACTGCAGCAGCAGCTGTATGTCCAAGCTTCAGAAGAGACTTGCCTCTAAGATTCTCCACTGTGGCAAAAAGATGGTCTGGCTGGACCTTAACAAGACCAACGAAATCGCCAATGCCAACACCTGCCAGCAGATTCAAAAGCTGATCAAAGATGGGCTGATAATCCCAAGCCCCTGACTGTCCTTTCCTGGGCTTCATGCAGGAAAAACACCTTGACCTGCCAAGAGGGCAGGAATATGGGCGTAAGTAAGTGAAAGGATATTGTCAATGCTCGAGTGCCAAAGAAGTTACCCTGGATGGGGAGGATGCGAATTCTGCATCAGCTGGTCGGAAGATACTGGGAATCTAAGAAGACTGGCCACCACATGTATCACAGCCTATACCTGAAGGTGAAAGAGAACATGTTCAAAAATACACGGATTCTTATGGAACACATCCACAAGTTGAGGTCTAAGACCAAGGAAGTATACAAATATATTCACCTGCCGTCCAAGAAGGTTCATCAAGGCTCAGTCCAAGGAGAAAGAGACAAAGAAAAACAGCGCCCCCACCCTCCTTGTCTGTACTCAGTGGCCTCAGCAATTACATAGACCAATCACTCAAATAAAACAAGTCTCTTTTTTTTCCTTAAGAAAGTGAAAGAGAGAATGAAAAAACAAACCACAGATTGGGAGAAAATATTTACAAATCATATATCAGAAAAAGCACTTGTATCTAACTCTCAAAACTTAAAAATAAGAAAAGAAACAATCCAATTTTTTTTAAATGGGCAGTTTAAAAAAACTCTGCAGTTAAAAAAAAATAAAAACAATCCAATTATAAAATGGGCAAAAGATATAAACAGATATTTTTCCAAAGAGGAGATTTAGGTGGCAAATAAGCATGTGAAAAGATGTCCAACATCCTTAGCCATTAGGGAAATGCAAATTAAAGCCACACTATTTCACTGTACACCTATTAGAACAGCTAAAATAGGTGCGTAATGAACAGCTAAAATAACAAGTCATGGTAACACCAAGTGGTGACAAGTACGCAGAGAAGCTGGCTCTCTCGTACATTCCTGATGGGAATGTAAATGGCACAGACACTCACATACACTTACTATATGATCCAGCAATCACACCCTTGGGCATTTATCCCAGAAAAATGAAAACTTATGTGCATACAAAAATCTGTTCTTGAATGTTCCTATTAGCCCTATTTATAATAGCAAAATACTGGAAACAACTCAAATGTCCTTTAATGAGTGAATGGTTGAACAAGCTCTGGAACATCCATATAAAGCAATATAATTCTGCAATACAAAGATATGAACTATCGAGGCATGCAACAACCTTGATGAATGTCAAGGGCATTATGCTTAGTGAAAAAACAGTCCATCTCAAAAGGTTACATGCTGTATTATTCCATTCCTATAACATTCTCTAAATGACAAAACTATAGAAATGAGAGAACAAATTAGGAGTAAGCAAGGGAAAGAAGTGGAGATGGGGGAGGCAGGGACACAAATACAAAAAAGTAACATAAGGGAGTTCTTTGGTGGTGAGGGAGCAGTTCTATATCTTGATCGTGGTGGTGGTTACACAAATCTATACATAGGATAAAATCTTACAAAACTAAACACAACACACACACACCACACGCACACAAATGGATACAGGGTTTTGGGGGGTTTTTTAATGCCAAAAACTGAACGAGGTCTGTAATCGAGTTGACTGTAATGTACCAATGTCAGTTTTCTCATTTGGATGTTTGTGTTAGTTTGCTAGGGCTGCCATACCAAGTACCACAGACTGGGTAGCTTAAACCAACAAAATTATTTTCTCTGCCAGGTGCGGTGGCTCACGCCTCTAATCCCAGCACTTTGGGAGGCTGAGGAGCGTGGATCACCTGAGGTCAGGAGTTGGAGACCAGCCTGGCCAACATGGTGAAACCCTGTCTCTACTAAAAACACAAAAATCAGCCAGGTGTGGTAGCAAGCACCTGTAATTCCAGCTACTTGGGAGGCTGAGGCAGGAGAATTGCTTGGACCCGGGAGGCGGAGGTTTCAGTGAGCCGAAATTGCACCACTGTACTCCACTCTGGGTGACAGAGCAAGACTCTGTCTTGGGGGAAAAAAAAATTATTTCCTCACAGTATTGGAGTCTGGAAGTCCAAGGTCAGCAGATTTTATTCCTCCTGAAGCCTCTCTTCTTGGCTTGTAGATGGATATCTTCTCTCTATGTCCTCACGTGGTCTTCCCTCTGTGTGTATCTGTGTCCTAATTTCCTTTGTTTTTTTTTTTTTTTTTTTTTTTTTGAAACAGGGCCTCTCTTTGTCACCCAGGCTAGAGTGCAATGGTTCAAGCAATCCTCCCACTTCAGCCTCCCAAAGTGCTGGGATTACAGGCATGAGCTAATGCACCCGACCTCCTCTTCTTATAAGGACACCAGTCATATTGGAGGGACCATCTGTTTGACCTCATTTGACCTTAATTACGTCTTAAAAGACCCTATCACCACATACATTCTGAGGAAGTTGGGGTTAGGACTACAACATATGAATTTGGGAGGAAGACGATTAGGGCCATACGATATTGTACTACAGCTATATGTCACCCACTGGGGTAACAGTCAAAAGCGCATGGATCTCTTTGTACTATGTGAACAACTTCCTGTGAACCTATAATTATTTCAAAATAAAAAGTTGGCCAGGCATGGTGGCTCACCTGTGTAGTCCCAGCACTTTGGGAGGCTGAGGCGGGCCAATCACTTGAGGTCAGGAGTTCGAGACCAGCCTGGCCAACATGGTGAAATCCCATCTCTACCAAAAAATATAAAAATTAGCCAGGCATGGTGGTGCGCGCCTGTAGTTCCCACTATTCAGGAGGCTGAGGTGGGAGGATCTCTTGAACCTGGGAGGGGGAGGTTGCAGTGAGCCGAAATCACACCATTGCACTCCAGCCTGGGCAACAGAGACTCTGTCTCAAAAAAAAAAAAAAAAAAGTCCGGGCGCAGTGGCTCACACCTGTAATCCCAGCACTTTGGGAGGCCGAGTTGGGCAGATCACGTGAGGTTGGGAGTTCCAGACCAGCCTGACCAACATGGAGAAACCCCATCTCTACTAAAAATACAAAATTAGCCGGGCGTGGTGGTGCATGCCTGTAATCCCAGCTACTTGGGAGGCTGAGGCAGGAGAATTGCTTGAACCTGGGAGGAGGAGGTTGCAGTGAGCCAAGATTGCGCCATTGCACTCCAGCCTGGGCAACAAGAGCAAAACTCCGTCTCAAAAAAAAAAAAAAAGAAAAGTTAAACAATGGGGAAAAGATGTAAAGACATTACATCAAAGAATATATATGAATGGCAAATAAGCACATGAGAAGACGTTTAGCATAATTAGTCATTAAGAGAAATGCAAATTAAAACCAAAATGAGAAATCATTGCATGCCTATTACGATAACTAAAATTAAAAATACTATTGATACCTAATGCTGATGAGAATACAGAGCAACAAGAACTCTCATAATTGCTTGTGGGAATTCAAACTAATACAGTCACTCAGGAACAGTATCTTATAGTTACACATACACGTATCACATGACCCAGCAGTCCCACCTCTAGGTATTTATCCTAAAGAATGAAAAGTATATTCACACAAAAACCTGTACATGTTCACAGCAGCATTATTCATAATGGTCAAGACAACCTAAAAGTCCTTCAATGGGTAAATAGAGCCACAAGATGGGATACTGCTCAGAGATAAAAGGGACAAATGATTGACACGCCACAACATGGATGACTCTGAAATGCATTATGCTAAGTGAAAGAACCTAGACTCAATAGGTTACATACTTTATGATTCCACTTACATCACACTCTGGGAAGGGCAAAACTACAGCCACTTCGGTTCTCTTTTGGTTACTGTTTGCATAGCTTTTTTTCCATCCCACCTTCAACCTATTTGTGTCTTCGAATCTGAAGCATGTCTGGTGAAAACAACAAATAGGTTTTGTTTTTCCTTTTTCTTTTTCTTTTTTCTTTTTTTTTTTAGACAGAATCTCACTTTGTCCCCCAGGCTTGAGTGCAGTGGCGTGATCTCAGCTCACTGCAGCCTCAACCTCCTGGGTTCCAGCGATCCTCCTGCCTCAGTCCCCCAAGTAGCTGGGACTACTGGCATGCGCCACCATGCCCAGTTAATTTTTGTACCTTTAGTAGAGACGGAGTTTCACCATGTTGCCCATGCTGGTCTCGAACTCCTGAGCTCAAGTGATCTGGCCACCTTGGCCTCCCAAAGTGCTGGGATTACAGGCGTGAGCCACCGTGCCTGGCCAACAAATAGTTGAGTCATATTTTTTAATCCATTATGTCAGTCTCTGCTGTATAATTAGAGGGTTTGTTTGTTTGTTTGTTGTTTGTTTGTTTGTTTGTTTTTGAGACGGAGTCTCGCTCTGTTGCCAGGCTGGAGTACAGTGGTGCCATCTCCGCTCACTGCAACCTCCGCCTCCCGGATTCAAGCGATTCTCCTGCCTCAGACTCCTGAGTAGCTGGGACTACAGGTGCGCGCCACCACGCCCGGCTAATTTTTGTATTTTTAGTAGAGACGGGGTTTCACCATGTTGGCCAGGATAGTCTCAATCTCTTGACCTCATGATTCGCCTGCCTTGGCCTCCCAAAATGCTGGTATTACAGGCGTGAGCCACCATGCCCGGCCGAGGGTTTAACCCACTTACATTTAAACTGATGAGGTAAGATTTACATCTGCCATTTTGCTATTTGTTTTCTGTCTTCTTTTATTCTTCTTCTTCCATTGCTGCCCTCTTCTGTATTAAATAAATATTTTCCACAGTATCTTTTTAATTCCCCTGCTCTTCCTTTCCTATATATTTTTTGAATTGTTTTCTTGGTGGTTGTGCTGAGGATTACAATAACATCTTAACTTTTAACATCTAGGTTGGGTTAATGCCAAATTAATTTCAATTAATACCAACATAACTTAATTTCAATTTTCTCTCATTTAGTTCCATTTCTCCCCTCCCCTTTGTGCTCTTATTGTAATACAAATTACATTTTTAAACACTGTACACTCATCAATGCAGATTTTTTTGAAAACAGTTTTGAGATAAAATTCACAACCATACAATTCATCCATTTAATGTGTACAATTCAACTTTTTAAAATATATTCATAAGTATGTATTGCCATCAGCACAGTCCATTTTAAAACATTTTTATCACCTAAAATAAAAAATTAAAAAGGCCAGGTGCAGTGGCTCACACTTGCAATCCAAACATTTTGGGAGACCAAAGCAGGACTATCACTTGAGGCCAGGAGTTTGCGAGCAGCCTGAGCAACACAGCAAGACTCCACCTAGTCCCAGCTACTCAGGAGGCTGAGGCAGGAGGGGCCCAGGAGTTCAAGGCCACAGTAAGCTATGATCATGCCACTGTACTCCAGCCTGGGTGACAGAGCAAGACTCTGTCTCTTAAAAAAATGAAAATAAAAATAAAAACTGTTCTCTTTAGCTATCATCCCTCTTCCTCAATTATGCCCAGCCCTAAGCAACCACTAATCTGCTGCTTTCTGTCTCTATAGTTTTGCCTAGTCTGGATATTTCCTACAAATGGACTCATACACTATATGGCCCTTGTCACTGGCATCTGGCATCTTCTACTTAACATAATGTTCTCAAGGTTTATCCATGTTGTAGTATGTATTTGTACTTCATTCCCTTTTTTTTTTCTTTTTTCTTTATATATATTTTTTCAGACAGGGTCTTACTTTGTCACCCAGGCTGGAGTGCAGTGGCGCCCTATCAGCTCACCGCAACCTCTGCCTCCCAGGTTCAAGCGATTCTTGTGCCTCAGCCTCCTGAGTAGCTGGGATTACAGACATGCATGACCACGCCCAGCTAATTTTTGTATTTTTAATAGAGACAGGGTTTCACCACGTTGGCCAGGCTGGTTTCGAACTCCTGATCTCAAGTGATCTGCCCACCTCAACTTCCCATAGTGCTGGGATTACAGGGGTGAGCCACCATGCCCGGCCTTTACTTCATTTGTGAAGGATGTTTTGCTGGATTTAGAATTCTTAGCTGACAGTCTTTTTCTTTCTTTTGGATATTTCCTCCCGCTCCTTTCTCCTCCACCACCCCAGCCACCATGGTTTCCAATAAGAAGTAAGCTGTTAATATTACTGAGGATTCCTTATACATGATGAGTTGCTCCTTTCTTGCTGCTTTCAAGATTTTCTCTTTGTCTTTGGCTTTGACAGTTTGATTATAATATTTCTAGATGTGGATATCTTTGAAATTGTCCTGCTGAGAGTTCGTTGAACTAAAGCAAAAGTATAAAAACAGGAAATAGATCAGCGGTTGCCTAGGGTTGGAGTAGAAGAAGGATCCGAATACAAAGGGACAGCATAAGGGAATTCTGTGGTGTGTTTCTTTTTTTTTTTGAGATGTAGTCTCGCTCTGTCGCCCAGGCTGGAGTGCAGTGGTGCCATCTCGGCTCAATGCAACCTCCACCTCCCCAGTTCACGCCATTCTCCTGCCTCAGCTTCCCAAGTAGCTGGGACTACAGGCGCCCGCTACCACGCCCGGCTAATTTTTTGTATTTTTAGTAGAGATGGGGTTTCACCGTGTTAGCCAGGACGGCCTCGATCTCCTGACCGCGTGATCTGCCCGTCTCGGCCTCCCAAAGTGCTGGGATTACAGGCGTGAGCCGCGGCACCCAGCCCTTTGATGTCTGTTTCTATGAGGGTGGTGGTAGTCGATACAAGAATCTATGCATGTGACTCATAGAACTGTACATCGAAAAGGTGAATTTTATCATATGCATATTTTTTAAATGCCAATAAATGAAAATTGATAATTTTTTTTTTTAGATGGAGTCTCACTCTGTCACCCAGGCTGGATGGAGTGCAGTGGCATGATGGCAGCTCACCGCAACCTCCACCTCCCAGGTTCAAGCGATTCTTCTGCCTCAGCCTCCCGAGTAGCTGGGACTACCTGGCTAATTTTTGTATTTTTAGTAGAGATGGGGTTTCACCATGTTGGCCAGGATGCTTTCAATCTCCTGACCTTGTGATCCGCCTGCCTCTGCCTCCCCAAGTGCTGGGATTACAGGTGTGAGCCACCGTGCCCGGCCGAAAATTGATAATTTTTAAAAATACTTAGTATGTTCACTCAACGCTGAATATATATTTTTATTTTATTTTTTTGAGGTGGAGTTTTGTTCTTGTTGCCCAGGTTGGAGTGCAATGGCGTGATCTCGGCTCACAGCAACCTCTGACTCCCGGGTTCAACCTCGTACCTCAGCCTCCCAAGTAGCTGGTATTACAGGCACTCACCACCAAGCCTAGCTTTTTTTTTTTTTTTTTTTTTGTATTTTTAGTAGAGACGGGGTTTCTCCACGTTGGTTAGGTTGGTCTTGAACTCCTGACCTCAGGTGATCTGCTCACTTCGGCATCACAAAGTGCTGGTATTACAGGCGTGAGACACCACATCTGGCATGAACACATATGTTTAAGTGAACACTCATGTACTCTCATCCAAGTAAGGGAAAAGCACATTGTGAGCATTCCAGAAGCTCCCTATGTTCTTCTCCCTGAATGTTGCCTCATTGCTCCCCCATAGAATCAATCACAATTCTAAATTTTATCATAATCACGTCCCTGCTCTTTTTTTATCTTTTTTTGTTTGTTTCTTTGTTTTTGAGACAGGATCTCACTCTGTTGGCCAGGCTGGGATGCAGTGGTGCAATTCCTGCTCACTACAGCTTCAACCTCCTGGGTACAAGCGATCCTCCTGCCTCAGCCCCTCAAGTAGCTTGAACCACAGGCACACACCACCACAACCAGCTAATTTTTGAATTTTGTTTTTTAGAGACCAGGTCTCGCTGTGTTGTGCAGGCTGGTCTTGAACTCTTGCGCTCACGCAATCTTCTCGCCTTGGCCTCCCTCGCTGCTGGGATTACAGATGTGAGCCACTGTGCCCAGCTGTTCTTTATCTTTTTATTATTCATGCATCACTAAAAAATGCAATTCTTTTCCTTTTGCATTTTGCTTATTTACTCAGAATTGTTTTGCAAGAATCATCTATGTTTTGTGTACTAGTTTACTTATTTTCATTCTTGTATAACTCAATTGCACAAATGTACCATATTTTATTCTTCATTCTTTTCTCCTTTTTTTTTTTTCTTTTTTTTTTTGAGACAGGGTCTCACTCTGTCACCCAGGCTGGAGTGCAGTGGCGTGATCACTACTCACTGCAGCCTCAACCTCCTGCTGGGCTCGTGATCCTCCCAGCTCCTCCTCCCACGTAGCTAGGACCACAAGTAGGTGCCTTCATGCCTGGCTAATATTTGTATTTTTTGTAGAGATAGCATTTTTCCATGTTCCCCACACTGGTCTTGAACTCCTGAGCTCAAGCATTCCACCCATCTCAGCCTCCTGAAGTGCTGGGATTAAAGGTGTGAGCCACCACACCTGGCCTCTTCATTCTATTTTTAGTGGACATTTGGATTTCTTCCAATTTGGATCTATTTCAAACAAAACTGCTATGAGCATTCATGTACATGTATCTTTTGTATGTGTATAAGAGTTTCTCTATGGTATATATTATATATCTAAGAATTGGGCATGTGTGTCTTTAATGCTACTAGATTATGCTGAGGTGTTCTCCATCTTCTCATACCACACATGTCAAATGGAATGCAAGAGCAAATACTTCTAATGATATGTGGTACAGACACAGGTAAGGGTTTACTAGAGGAAACTTCCAGGCAAAGAGTTGGAAAAAAATGTATATGATGCCCCAAATTCCCTTTATCCAAAAGGAAGCTTGCTTAGGTCAGGCAGGGCTAAACTCACTGTTGAAAGAGTTCCAGGAGAGTGGACACCTTCTCATGACACTCTACATATTTACAAAGGCAAGCGAGGGCTGGGGGCCCCTGGAAAACTAGCAACAACAGATGAAGATTTCTGGCCATGGAAATGTCTTAGCTGTAAATGAAGAGAATCCAGAGCTTGGACATCACTTGGGGAGCTCACATGCCAGTTCAGTCATGCTGAACTGTTCCTTTTGTGAAACGCATGTTCACATCTTTTGCCCATTATTATATTGGGTTATTTATTCTTCTTGGGGTTTGTCAGGATTCGTGTACCTGTGAATTGGTGTCTTTCATCAGTTCTGAAAAATTCTGTTAGCATCTCTTCAAAAGTTGCTGTTGGACTGGGCACAGTGGCTCACACCTGTAATCCCAGCACTTTGGGAGGCCGAGGTGGGAGGATCCCTTGAACTCAGGATTTCAAGACTAGCCTGGGAAACATGGCAAAACCCTGTCTCTACAAAAAATGCAAAAATTAGCTGGGCATGGTGCTACATGCCTGCAGTCCCAACTACCTGGGAGGCTGAGGTGGAAGGATCGCTTGAGTCCAGGAGGTTGAGGCTGCATGCAATGGGCAGTGATCACGCCACTGCACTCCATCCTATGTGGTAGAGTGAGACCCTGTCTCGAAAATAAAAAATAAAAAATTGCTCTTGACTTTGGTGGTGGCTAATGCCCATAATCTCAACACTTGGAGAGGCTGAGGCAGAAGGACCACTTGAACCCAGGAGTTTGAGACCAGCCTGTGCAACATAGGAAGACCCCGTCTCTACAAAAAATACAAAACTTAGCTGGGCATGGTGGTGCATGCCTGCAGACCCAGCTACTCAGGAGGGTGAGGTGGGAGGATCGCTTGAGTTCAGGAGGTCGAGGCTGCAGTGAGCTTTGATGACTGCACTCTGGGTGAGAGTGAGGCCCTGTCTCAAAAAAAAAAAAAAAAAAAAAAAGCTGTCTCTCACCACTCTTCCTCTCTTCACTTGTCAGCTTTTCTTCCATGTCTTTTAACATCTCTTCAATATTTTCTATCTCTTTCCACATTTTCCTCTATCTCTCTCTGTCCTTTCCCCAGAAAGGATATTCTCTTCTGTCCTAACTTCTAGCTCATTAATTCTCTCTTTAACTGTCTAACCCACTACTATACATACCCATTCAGTTTTTAGTTTAGGTTATTGTATTTTTATTTGTAGAAATTGTTAGGTTATATAGATATAGATATATAGATATAAATATATATTTTTTGAGACGGGAGTCTCGCTCTGTCGCCCAGGCTGACTGCAAACTCCACCTCCGGGATTCAAGCAATTCTCCTGCCTCAGCCTCCTGAGTAGCTTGGATTACAGGCACCCACCACCATACCTGGCTAATTTTTGTATTTTTAGTAGAGACAGGGTTTCACCATGTTAGCCAGGCTGGTCTTGAACTCGTGACCTCAGGTGATCTGCCTGCCTTGACCTCCCAAAGTGCTGAGATTACAGGCGCAAGCCACAGCACCTGACCCAAATAGCTCATTTTAACGTTTTTTTTTTTCTCTAATCTGAGGAGGCATCTTGTATGACTTTTATTTTACACAATGTGAACATGGTTGTTTTATAATCTGTAACTGGTGATTCAAATGTATTAAATCTTTGTAGGTCTAGATCTCCTATTTGTTACTGCTGCCTCATTTCCTTGATTTTTAATGTGATGCTTATTGTACTTAAAAAATTATTTGTATGACAATTGAGTAACAAGTTTACTGATGTAAAATTTTCGGTTCATTTTAAAAATTATGTGTCACATGTAACAGACTGACCGATATAAAATTCTCTGTTCATTTTACAAACAGTGTTCCCTAAAGTTGTACAATACTGTGATCCTACTTATGGATATTCTACAATATTTCAGATAATATAGGCTGACCAGCCAGGCACGGTGGCTCACGCCTGTAATCCCAGCACTTTGGGTAGCCGATCACCTGAGGTCAGGAGTTTAGCCTGGCCAACATGGTGAAACTCTATATCCACTAAAAATACAAAAACTAGCTGGGCGTGATGGCACACGCCTGTAATCCCAGCTACTCTGGAGGCTGAGACAGGAGAATTGCTTGAACCTGGGAGGCGGAGGTTGCGGTGAGCTGAGATTGCGCCAGTGCGCTCCAGCCTGGACGACAGAGCTAGACTCTCTCATAAAAAGAAAAAGGAAGGAAGGAAGGAAGGTATATAGACAGAGACTGGTCCATTTAACTTCATTTTAACATCTCTTTGGCTTGACTTCCTATAATGTAAAGGCTGGAAAGCTAAAAGCTAAATATCCCAGCTTCTTTTCTACCTGGCATTCCTCGTGTAACCTAGGTCCTGTCAAACAGATGCACAGGCCCTGAACTTGGAGCTAAGAATGGCAAAAGGAAGTGTCAAACACATTCAGGGAGATCAGATTTTCTGACAGTCATGGTAGTGGAGCTGTATGGTTTCTTTGGTACGAATATGAAATGTTCTGGCATCTAGTCCCCAGTATCTTAGTTGCCAAATATAAAGCAATGGTGAAAGTGATTATTTCTCTAGGAATATTCCCATGACATACATGGTTGGGGATTCCCTCTTGCCTTTGTTGACACTGACTGTAACGTTTCTGGTTATGGAGCATCCAAGTCCAGTTTCCAGCCCTCCTGGAGAGTGTGTGAGCTTCCTAAGACCCTTTAATCAATCCCTTTCTGCTTATTTAGAGTGCTATTTAGAGTGGATTCTATCATCTACACCTAAGAACACTTATATCCAATGAAACCAAAATAGAATCCAAGAAACTGTAGAACAAACTCAAGAGTACAATAACAAGAAATCCTAGACAAAAAAGCAGGCAAAGTTAAACTATGATGTTAGATGTGAGGATAGTGGTTACCCTTGACAGACAGGGGTATTGACTGGAAGGGTACACAAAGGGAGAATTTTGGAGTGCTGGTAGTATTGGGGTTTTTTAAACCTGGGTTATGGGTCCCTGAGTGTGCTCTGTCTGTGTACATTTATATGGCTGTGAACTTACATGCACTTTTCATTATATACGATAAACTTCAATGAATTAAAAATCTGTTTTTGAAAAATGACACTATAAGTGGAGGTGAGGAGAAAAGGTGCAGGGAAATTTGGTACTAGATCCTTCATGGCGATTAATGGATATTGACGCTGTGTGGGAGAGACAGAGACATCTCAAGAAACAGTGCAAGAGCCAAGCAGTAGGCAGAACTTACATGGCAAAAGGCTGCATGATGTCTTTATGCCAGATTTTGCCTATTACTATTTGCCCCATTCCTGTCCTTGGAAGCTCTACTCTGAATGACAAGGGGGTTGGGAGACTACATTTTGTAGGCTTCCTTGCCAGCTGAGTTACTGTTAGATTTTGCCAGTGGACTTCATAGCTCAGGGACTAGAAAGTGGGAGGAAATGAGAAACGGTCCTGTTTCTGGCTCTAGCCATGGCAGGTGATTGCCTGTGGTTGCAAGCAGTCACAAGTGATTACAAGCCTCCAGCACCATCAGCAAATACAGGTTATAAGCACCAGACCAAGGGTGCTATCCTGATTTCTGGGTAAAATTCCCTTCCTTTTGTTCATCCAGCTCTTTTTTGTTTATTTTGTTATGACCATCCAGGTTGGAGTATAGTGGCGCCATCATGGCTCACTGCTGCCTCTGCAGCCTCCACCTCCCAGGCTCCAGTGATCCTCCTGCCTCTGCCTCCCTTAGCCATGCGCCACTACAGCTGGCTATGTTTCTTATTTCTTATTTTTGTAGAGGCGGGGTTTGGCTATGTTATCCAGGCTGGTCTCAAACTCCTGGGCTCAAGCAATCCTCCCACCTCAGCCTCCCAAAGTGCTGGGATTACAGGTGTGAGCCACCACACCCGGCCTCATCCAGCTCTTCCAACACCTTCCTATCCAATTTCCAGCATTAAATTTCCCTCCACTTTAAGTGCCTAGAATGGGTTGTTTACCTGGCAAGACACAGACTGATACACAACTTCCCCTTCAGTCTGATAGAAACTCAGCAAAGCCTATCAGTTATCAATACTCTGAGAATGGCTGAAGCAAATTCAAATGTTCTCAGCTGACCCACCTTTGGCTGACCCTCCTCCTTGGAGCCATCCCTGTCCATACTCCACACCCTGCCCACCTCCCGCCTG